>NC_000009.12:107159945-107311461 GCF_000001405.40 Homo sapiens | reverse complement strand
CTGAGACTCCATCACTTTAAATATCAAAATATATAAAATAATATCCTAACAGCTATCTATTGAATACAAAAAAGATAATGCACAATTATTTACCTGAAATAATTTACATGAGAAGTTAAATAATTTATAAATCAAGTCACACCAGAAGAAATATCAAAAGCAGTATACAAAATAGCACATGGAGAAACCAAATTAGGCTATAAAGTCTTTACATAATGAAGTCTTATAGGTAAGTTCTGAATGAGGACACTGAAAGAAGATATTCAAATAAAGAAATATAGCATATGCAAAAAAGGTAGATATGGGTTAAATCCAAGTTTGAATGTAATGAAAATCAGTTTAAAGAGATTAAGTTTCTGTTGGGAAACTACAGAGAAGTCTGCAATAAAAGACAGAAAATTATGAAAGACCAAGAGCAAGCCAAAGAAATATAAACTTAAGTTTACAACAGTGGTAAAGGTAGTAGTTAGAAGTTTAAATTAAAGCAGACACACATACACACTTAGACCTGTATCTCAATTAAAAACAACACACACATTATATTTCAGTTCTGAGAAAGCCCTTGGTAGTACATAATAAGAGCAGAAAACTCAAGTTTGGATGCATAAATTACTTAACCTTTCTAAGCCTGTTTCTTCATCAGTACAATGTCAACGACCGTATCATATACTCCAAAGTGTTGTGGGTAGGGCTACACTAGTACAGTGCTTAGCAAAGTGTCTGGCATCGTAACACCCAATAAGAATACTATGATTAATATAATCCCTTGGTATAATTTAAGTTCTTCATTAAATATACTGTAAAACTAATGCAGAGAAAATAAAATTTCAAAACGCACAATACATAAAAACTAAATTTTTCCTACCCCTAACCCAGAGACAACCACTATGACACCAATTTCTATTTAAAAGAATAACAACTTGTGTCTTGCTTTGGTGTTTTTTTAACTTAACAATCATTCTATGTCGGCACAATCAAATCTACTTCAATTTCTTCCCAAATGTGCACAGTATTCCATTTAAAAGACCAAATCAAGCTCTTATTAAGCAATGTGTAGTTTGGTTTCCTGCATTTAAATTCTTTCTATAGTCAAATTCATCAATCTTTCCTGTTATAATTTTTTTTTTGGTTGTCTTGCTTAAGAATGACTTCTCACAGTGAAGACTATTCTTTTGTTTCCTTGTTCTCCATTAGCTTATGGCTTTGCTTTTACATTAAATCCGTATCCATCTATAATTTATTTTTGCAGGTGTACAGTATGAGGGGTCATTCTTTTTTCATTCTAGATGGTGAGATCTCAATAGCATTTTCCCCACATTGTTCTGAAACTGTACCTTTATATTAAGTTCCTGTATCTATCTGGGTCTATTTCAAAGCTATTGTTGATTTCGCTGACCAATCTTTCTAATATGAGCCATTCCAAACTGTTTTAATCATTACTGTATAATACATTTTAAAATCCGGTAAGACACATCTCCCTTAGAATAATTTACACTATTATCACACATTGGTTTTTTTTTTTTTTTTTTTTGAGATGGAGTCTCACTCTGTCGCCCAGGCTGGAGTGCAGCGGCGCAATCTCGGCTCACTGCAAGCTCCACCTCCCGGGTTCACGCCATTCTCCTGCCTCAGCCTCCTGAGTACCTGGGACTACAGGCGCCCGCCACCACGCCCAGCTAATTTTTTGTATTTTTAGTAGAGACGGGGTTTCACTGTGTTAGCCAGGATGGTCTCAATCTCCTGACCTTGTGATCCGCCTGCCTCTGCCTCCCAAAGTGCTGGGATTACAGGCGTGAGCCACCACGCCCGGCCCACACATTGTTTTTAAAAAGTTCTCTTTAAACACCACAGATAAGACTGGATGTACATAGACTTTAACCATTATTCTTTAATCTTGATTCTGTCTCACTACTTCTCCCCTCTCCAACCACAGAGGAAACCACTCATTAGTTATATGTCAACGCTTGCCTTCTTTTCTTCTACACATTAACATGCATACCCACAGAAAATGAACAATGTTGTTTATGGGTTTTGTCTGGTTTATGGTTATTGCCTATACTCTTCTGCAACCTGCTTTTTTCACTCAATAACAAAGCCTCAAAACCACACTCATTTAACATGCTTATACATTACATACTTTAACTGTCTTGTAGTATCAGCTATCAGGGTTTCTCAAATTTTACAAAGTCCGAGAATCCCAAGTATTCACCAGGAGGGCTTGTTGATTTCTGGGATCCACTCCCAGATAATTCTGATTTACAGGTCCAGGGTGGCCCAAGAATTCATGTCAAACACACTCCCAGTGATGCTGATGCAGCCTATTGACTACCACACTTTGAGTAGTCCTGTTCTCTACTACGAATAAACCACAGGTCAATTTAGGATTCCAATTTGTCCTTTACTACAAACAATACAGTCATGTGCACAAGTGCAGTTTCTCTCAGGTAGATATCAAGTGGAATTTGCACTGTAACAGACAATTTTTAAAAGAACAAAATTGACCTAAAGAAACAAATCCCTAATAACAAAACGTCAGGTCAGTGGTCCTAAACAGACTTCCCACAAAGTCACTCCACAAAGTCTTAACAGCTTATCTCCTGATAATTATTCACTAGGTTTTGTGCTTCACAAGACACTAGATATTTTCCAGCAAAGACAAAGGAACTAAGACACATTTAAGCAGCTTGTTTTCTGAGTTTCCCTCATTCCTCTCTTCCTGTGTTGTATTTCTGAGGTAAAATTTTGAGAAATAAGAGTAAGCAGTTGGTGTACAAAGTCCAACTAAGTAACAAACTCTAGTGTCTGCTTTCCTGGATCACTGACCATCAAGTTACTTATGCAACTTCTGTAGGTCTGAAAAGGTCTGAAAAGATAACCCTGGCTCTTTTTAGAATAGGTAAGTAAAACTGCAACTCCAGGAAGAAAATAAAACTAGAGTTAATGGGCTGGGCATGGTGGCTCATGCCTATAATCCCAGCACTTTGGGAGGCCGAGGTGGGCAGATCACCTGAGGTCAGGAGTTCGAGACCAGCCTGGCTAACATGGTGAAACCCCTTCTCTACTAAAAATACAAAAATAAGCTGGGCATGGTGCCATGCGCCTGTAATCCCAGCTACTCAGGAGGCTGAGACAGGAGAATCGCTTGAACCCGGGAGGTGGAGGTTGTAGTGAGCCGAGGTCACGCCACTGCACTCCTGCCTGGGTGGCAGAGCAAGACTCTGTCTCCAAAAAAAAAAAAAAAAATGGAGTTAATGAAGAAAGAAATTTAAATTGATGGCATTAGCACATTAAAATGTATTGATCAACTCTAAAATTCTCACACTGTAAGCTTTTTTTTTTTAAAAAGGAGCTTAAAGCAATTAAGAGAATAAGATGTATTGTGCTGACTTAAGACATATTAAGTTTGTAATATTTAAGTGCTTTAGTAAACCAATTTTTTAAATGCGTAAGTTCCCTCTCATATACAGACCTGATCAACAGCCCTTTGATGTAACAGCTTAACCTGACTCTAGGTGGTATCCACTAGGATAAGATGGTTGAATGCATTTCTAGTTGTACATGGGAAAGATGGATCAAGTTAGGCAATGGTGTCATAGAATGCTTAAAGCAGTGTTCTAGGCAAGTAACAGGGCAAATATTCTATTGCCTAAACCCATGTTGTCTTCTTAGGGAATCAATTATTTAGAAAGAGACCCCCAAGTAAGCAATGAACCAGGTGGCTCAGACTCCTCCAAACATGGTTGACTAAGTCAGACACAGAAACCACACTCAAAGGCAGAACACTAAAATGAAGGATCACAACTATATCTTTCTGATCATTGTCATATATATCTTAACCCCTTTCCATGTCTGTAAACCCTTCCAGTCACTGCATAGTTTTCCACTGTGTCTGATTCTGACTCCAAAGATCATATAACTACTGCCTCTGAGGTCCTGAGTTGCACTAAGTCACAAAATACAAACAGCTGTAGTGCCAGTGAAGGCTGGTCATAATATAACTCATGCTCTTAGATCAAGGAATTGTGCTGTATGATTTCCAACCAAGAGAACTCTGACTTAAGCATTTGCTTTGGTCATTTTACCTGATCGTCTGGGGAGAAAAACAAAAGTCTTGTCTTAAACTGCTCAATAATCCTAACTGCCTAAGCAGCCACTTAGTTGAGGTGTCTCTGCTGTCAACTTCCCACAAGAAATTATTTCTTGCTCCTCAAATATCTCAACACTCTTTTCCTTTTTTTTCCCCTAAAGATCCACACAGGCAGAAGCCTGAATTTCTCACAAGTTCACAAAGATACAGATACAACAGTGAAAAACTGAAATAGTCCATAGGTTCAGGTTACAAGAGCTAACAAATGTCAGAACCAAACACAATGCTATATAACTACGGGAAAGATTTACTAACATGGAAGGATGCTTATGATATATATGACAATGACCACAAAGAATACAGATCAAGTACAAATGATGATCAGGGTGGCAATGTCATGATGTAATCCTTATTCATTTTGGTTATTTGTATTTCCTAACGTTTCTACTCAAAAAAAAAAAAATGACTTTCACCTGCTTTCTCCTTTCCACTGCCCCCCACCCTGCCCAAATCAACAGAGTACAGAAATCTGATTATGAAAATTTGTACTTATATTCTCCTTAGTAAGCTATCAAAACAGACGCAGCATATGTTTTAGTCAAACATTTAAAAAAAGCTTAACGTAATAGATATAGTCGGTTTGATCAAAACAATAATCAAAATAAATGCATGAAGTTCCTGTTAAACACGGATTTTGAGATAGAATGTCCTAGAATCCAGTTCCTACCTGTCAGTTGCTGTTGGGCTAGTAGCCACTGGTGTCTCTGCTGGCTTTTCTGCAGGCTTCTCTTGTTTAGCTGCACTAGCAGGTGCAGGTTCAGAAGATGCTGTCGCTGATGCTGGAGTGATGGATGCAGGTGTGGAAGTGGGGGCCAAGGCAGGGACAGGGGTTGGAGCCTGAGCCACAGTTGTGGTGGTGGAGGAAGTAACTGCTGTAGTGCTGGCAGGAGCTGACTGCTGAGTTGTAGCTGGTGCTGGTGTGGACACTGCTTTGGGCTAAACACATTAAAAGACAAAATAATTACAATAAAATACTACATACTGCCTGATCTCTAATTAGACTGTACCGTTACAGGATGCCACAAACATAGCACTAATAACAACCTATAACTTGAAAATAATTTTGTAAAATGACACAATAAATGATCAATATTAACAATCTGACTCATGGTTACTCTTTCAAAGCTCATGACAGCGTATGTTAATCTTAACTATCAACCACAATTAATTTTACCCAACAATTTCCATCTTCATATCAAGTTAATATAAAATAAAAAATTTGAAATATATATAGATATATAGATATATATATATATATATATAGATATAAACCGTATCATTTTCCCAAAAAAACTTTATGTACCTAAGTTGTAACTTTAAGGTACCTAATACCACTTAAAAGCATTAATAAAATAATTTTCTTTAATTTTAAAGACAGGGTCTTGCTACCTTGCCCAGGCTGGTCTTGAACTCCGGGCCTGAAGCAATCCTCCCACCACGGGCTCCCAAAGCGCTAGGATTACAGGCATAAACTACTACATCCAGCCCAAAATAATGTTCTTGAAATGGCAGTATAAATGTTTATTTATAAACATGTCAAATATTCTGTTGTACTGTATTTTTAGAAGAGGGAGGAAAATCCCAAAATTGACTACAAATCAACAGATCCAAGTACAAAAAGGTTCACAATACTTTCAGACATATATGTAATTAAGCAGAAAAATAAAGGCCAAATTAAGTTACCTCCACACGCTCAGCACTTTCTGAACTGGAAATAGAGCCATAAAGCTTCCCACAGAGCAAAAAAACAATTAGTTGACCCTTGAACAACAAGGGTTTGAACTGCACTGGGTCCACTTACATGATAATTTTTTTCAATATAAGTTACACTGAGTGTGCCTGCCTCTCCTTCTACCTCCTCCATCTCTGCCACCTTGAGACCGCAATACCAACCCTTTCTCTTTCTCAGCCTATTCAGTGTGAAGACAAGGATGAAGACCTTTATGATGATCCACTTACACTTAATGAACACTAAAAATATTCTCTCTCGTGATTTTCTTTTGTTTCTTTTTGAGAGAGGTTCTCACTCTATCGCCCAGACTGGAGTGCAGTGGTATGATCACAGCTCACTGCAGCCTCAACCTCCCAAGGCTCCTGCCTCAGCCACTGCCCCCGCCCCCAACACCAGGTAGCTGGGACTACGGGCTCACACTACCACTCCCTGCTAAATTTTTGTATTTTTTTTTTTTGTAGAGACAAGGTTTCGCCATGTTACCCAGACAGGTCTCCAACACCTGAGCTCAAGCGATCCGCCCACCTTGGCCTCCCAAGGCGATGGGATTACAGGCATCAGCCACCACACCTGGCCATGATTTTCTTAATAGTTTCTCTAGCTTACTTTAATACAGTATATCATACATGTAACATATAAAACATGTATTAATCCACTGTTTACGTTATCAGTAAGGCTTCTGGTCAAGAGTAGGCTATTAGTAGGTAAGTTTTGGGCAAGTCAAAAGGTATATGCAGATTTCTGACTGTAGGGGAGAGGCCAGCACTCCTAAGCTCAGTGGTGTTCAAGGGTCAACTGTACATGTGTAAAAATCATACATGATTTTTAGTCTTCTCCTAAGGCCTCTCAATGCTCGCTACCTGTTTAGTTCATAACTTTCCCAAGGACAAAAGGTAGCTGTTTTAGTGGAAGACAAGGCTTAAATTCAACATAATTTGCCACAGGCATAAACAAACTCTAAAACCAATGAGCTGCCTTGTCTTTTTGATTTGAACTAATAAAGAAGACACTAGGAAAAAGGTTAGTGAAAGGTGATAGGTTTTTAAAAAATACTAGTAGCATTACTCCCTTCTTTTCCTATTTAGCTTAACTTTCTTAACAGCCAATATAATATTCTGCAGATTATTACTGTTCTAAAACTAAAATGAGCTGAAATCCTGAGATCATTCTGGATCTTCAGTTATTCTGGATAAACTGGAGCTTCACAAAGGTGAAAATTTAGAGTCTTAAGCACCAAAACTTTATAATAACCAATCTAGATAAAAATGTATTTTTAAAAGTGGTATACTCATTTAATATTTTCCTTAATTGTTATCAAAATAATATTGCAATGTAACTTCCCTTCAAGGTTCCTACTGCCAAGAACAGCTACTTATACTTTATTCTAAACAGTACCAAGCCCTTCTCTGCTTTTTAGTTTTTATTCTTGCTTTTGATCTTAATAGCTTTTTCCTTTCCCTTCTTTGTATTAATAAGGTCATTTCTCAGTGCTTCCATAATGCCTTACTGTAGCAGCATTCCCTCCCTTTTCATAGTTGTCCTCTATTAACTTCAAATAAAACAATCATAAATATCATTAGAATCCTATGTAATATTAGGAATAAAAGACTTTAAGGAAAAACAAAAGGACTGTATGCAATATAATGATAGGCTTCAAGTATCTATTCCTCAAACACACGCACCTATTGAGACTTTTTCTGCTTAATTCTTGTGTTCTAAACAGTCAGGATCACTGTAATATTAAAAGAAACTAAGACCAGTAACAAAACATATTTAAATGTGTGGCTATCACATTTCCCATTATGTACTATGTATGCTAAAACTAGATAGGAAAATAGGATAGTATTCAGTCTTAAAAGTTCAGCAAATTCTGGCACAAGCTATAACATAGACAGATGAACCTCAATGACATTATGCTAAGTGAAATAAGCCAGTCACAAAAAGACAAATACCATAGGATTCCACTTATATGATGGTGATAGCTGCAAAACAATGTAACTATAATGTTATTGAACTGTACACTTAAAATGATTAAACTGGAAGTTTGTTATATTTTACCACAGTTGAATAAAAAAACCTAGATGATACAAGGTTTCCTCACGATTCTGCTTGTTTTTAAACTTAACATATAATGACTTAAGTTCTTAAGTATAGCAAAATCAACATGGTTCTTAATGAATTAAAAAATGTTCAACACTTGTAAACTATTTAGCTGCTTGCTCCCAGTACAAAAGCATGTGGTAATTAGAATTTATTTCTTCGACTCTATTTTCTATTACTATTAACTATTTTGTGACTTTGAGAAAAAACCCACATTTAATCCACTTTTGGCCTTTGATGAAGTGGTTTCAATTAGTGATTTAAACTCATTTTCAGTGCTACAAGTAACACTGTTCTTTCTCAGATTATGACAATCCAATCCTAAAAATGAATGTCATGAGTACCACTTCTCCATTTGTCTCTTAATTCTACACTGCATTATATATCTTTAAATAAACAAGTATATAAATAGTCTCTTAAAAAAATCCATGTTCATTCTCTGCTTTAAAAAAAATTTAATTTTATAAATTGTTCCAAATACATTCCAGCCTACTAAATCACAAAAAAGTATCTGTTTAAAACTTCCAGGCTGGGCGCGGTGGCTCACGCCTGTAATCCCAGCACTTTGGGAGGCCGAGGCGGGCGGATCACGAGGTCAGGAAATCGAGACCATCCTGGCTAACACGGTGAAACCCTGTCTCTACTAAAAATACAAAAAAATTAGCCGGGCGTGGTGGCATGCGCCTGTAGTCCCAGCTACTAGGGAGGCTGAGGCAGGAGAATGGCATGAACCCGGGAGACAGAGCTTGTAGTGAGCCAAGACAGCGTCACTGCGCTCCAGCCTGGGCAACAGAGCGAGACTCCGTCTCAAAAAAAAAAAAACAAAACAAAAACAAAAAAAACTTCCTCATAAAAATCATTCCATCATTTCTTTAGTTATCTTTTCCCTTTTTTTAGTTTCTAAAAACATATTCTTTCACTAAGAACTATCACTGTAATAATAAGCTTTCATGCCTTTTCTGTCTTGAGGAATCTGTTAGGACTAGTACGTAATTTAGCAGGTCTATTTAAGGCAAGCTTACAAAAACTACAGAATAAACATTTATTCCACTTATAAAGACATTTTAAAAGAATTATATAATGATTTCACTACTGTAGCAAAAATAATTTTAACATGACATTTTATTTTTCAATTGTTTTAATTTACATAAAATTTTATTAAAACTATATTATAGTTTAATGTGTAATTAATGTAAAACATTAATAACTTTATGTTTCACTTAAGGTAAATTCTTAAAAACCTTTCATAGTAGTTAAGTGTACACCACTATGGATGTGTATAAACTGTGTCCATTGTGTGGACTTGTGATCATCATTTTTAAAAAGACCTACATGCATAAAGATATACAGAATGAGGTTGAAACTTACTTTGGTCACCATAACCACCACAAAGTTTTTCTCATCAATTTTATATTCTTTGAGAGCAGTATCATCATTGAGGATTTTGCCTAATACATTAAGAGAAAAAAAAATCATTTAAGGCATAATCTTTCTCTTACACTTCAGTTAAAACAACTTTCTACTCGAAATATGAATATTTCAGAAATATTAAAATATGAATCACCAACATAAATTCTATCAGTTAATACTTTTCCCAAAGAAAAACCAATCAATCAAGATAAAAATAAAACAACTCCTAAGTGGCAGGGCATGGTGGCTCACACCTGTAATCCCAACACTTTGGTAGGCTGAGGAGGAAATATAGCTTGAGGCCAGGAGTTTGAAACCAGCATGGCCAACATAGCAAGACCCTGTTTATGAAAAAAAAAAATTCAAAATTAGCCAGGCATTGTGGCACATGCCTATGGTCCTAGCTACTTGGGAGGCTGAGGCAGGAGGATCACCTGAGCTCAGGAGTTCAAGGATACAGCGAGTATAATCACACCACTGCACTCCAGCTTGGGTGACAGAGCAAGACCCTCTCTCAAACAAATAAAACTAAAAAGCATAAGCATTTGACTAAAAGATGTCAAACTTATATAGTGTATATAGAATGACAATCAATTTTTACAAATGTATTGATTATATAAAAGACTTACTGGGCAAGGAAATATGAAAGAGGCCCTGAAAAGGAGGAGATCATGAAGATAAAGAAAATTCAATACTCCGATTGCACAGGGGTCCTCTGGAAAATAACCTATATTCTTTTATGATATGAAGAAAGGGAGAGAAACAAATTTCCTGCTCCCCAAAATACTGATATCTGATAAATCAGAAATGTTCTAACACTATCAAAGCAAGATACTAAAAGTACTTCAGAAAACGACATGATACACAAGAAAGGGCAAGATGCTACAGAACTTAGAAATGCACGAAGTACACAAAACTGTGGTCGTGCTGAAGGTCACTATTAGGTAGCTAGGACTCTCTAGTGTTTCTTGCTACATGAATTTAGTTTTCCACCTTTAAAAAGCTATTGAATCAAAAGCTGCTAACATTAAGTCAGAAAGGAATATGGATAGGAATGAGAAAACAGGCCAAAACAAGAAACTGGAAATTTGAATTTTATGTCCGCTTCTTTAGGCTTCTGAATTCTGACCTATAAAAATAATGGGACTGAATCACCAGGTTAGCATTTCCTCCAGGCTGTCTCACTTTAGGAAACACTATTCAGAAAAAGAGAAGAATCCATGGGTGATCAAACACCCACCTTACTAACATCTACAATGAAAGCATTTTCTCTAAAAATTTGGATATCAAATGTATTTTTAATATACATTTTCCTGGTTATTAGTGAGGCTAGTCAAATGTATAATTCCTACTCTTATCCTTTGTTGCTTTATTGGTCATCCTTTCCTTACTGATTTCTAAGAATTCTTTACATAATCTGAATATTAATTTTTTTTCTTCCTGTAGGTGTCTGTGTGATGTGTTTTTTCTGTACTCTTCAGTTAGTTTTGGTTAAAATAATTTTACAGGAATGATTCCAAGCATACTAATAATAACACAATCAGTATAAATGGTTTCAATTCAATTTAAAAAAAAAAGCTCCGTTTGATTAAAAAAACAAAAGCCAGTTACACGATGCTTACAAAAGATAAAACAAAACTAATACCATTTGATGGAAAAATACACAGGGCAAATGTGAATAAAGAGAAGATTGAATATTAATATTAGATTCAAATGACTGCTCTTTCACTGCTTTTATTTGTACAATCATTTTTCTGACAATTTGAATATACTACAATATATAAGATAACATTTCTAAAACTAAAAGAATATCAAGACATGGCATGTTAATTTTAATATTTAATTCATACCTGCATAAATTAATTTTTGACCTGCTACTGGAAAGGCATCTTTCCCCTTTTCAGATTCAATCTTCTCTTTCAGTGCTTTCACCTATAGGAAAAATAAAGATTTGTTTTGGAAAAAGTCTAAATAAAAAATGACAATCCAGAATCTGAATAAATAATGGAAGACAAAAATTATATACATAATTATTAATGTTTCCAAAACCTCAAATATTATGTTTTTCCAATTTATATCAAAAAAGATTCAACATTAACTCATATTACTAGTTATGATAGCCATAAACTTTAACACCATCTGATACACACAGATTTTTAAAAATTTACTAGTTGAACTGATAATTTAAAATAAAGTTTTCAACATCAAAGTTTTGGTTTATATACTGTTCATGGGTTTATTTCCCACGGAGCAAGAAAGTAAAGCTTGATCACCTAAAAAATCTAAGAAATAAAACAGTCTCATCAACAATAAGAATACTTCAATGTTAAAGGTTAAATTGTGAATGTTAAAAGGCAAATGATTCATTTTAAGTGTTATGTTTCATTACAATCACCAGGGGGACTTTACAAACACCAATTAAAACATAATCTCTGAGAGTGGGACCTTGACATCAGTATTTTTAAAAAGTTTTACAGGTGTTTCCAAAGTTCAGCCCAGGCTGAAAACCTCCAGACAACTTCAATGCTCTTAAACAAGCAGCTTAGCTTCTCTCAGCATCAGCTTCATTCATCTGTAAGAGGAGCTGGAATCCATGACCTTTATAGTCTCTTCATTTCCTAAAATTGTGTGACAATTAGGCTCATTATACAGTATTTACAAAAATGAGTCTAATGAACTTCTTAACTTGTTAAGTAGGGAGGTACAGGAGTAAAAAAGGCAGAGATGGCTTTCCCATTTGCCTTTATAGAACTACTTTCATTACTTTAAAGGCACAAAAACCAAGGAGAAAAATTCAATACTTCTTGAAAATTATCTAAGTTGACAGTTCTCTTGAGTTTTAGACAGAAAGGGATACAAATAAAGGTTTCTTTTGTACAATTAAAAAGTGATGGTGTGTACTTCAAAGATAAAAAAAGCTTATTTAGCTTCAGATGTTAACATACAATTTCACACAATCCTCAAAACTCTGGGACAAAAGGAAATGTCACCCACTCAATTTTATAGATGAGGAGACGGAAATAAAGAGGTTACCACCCCTTATGACTCCAAGCAGAGTATTTTGCAAATACCATATAAACCTTCCTTGCTGCACTGATCTTCCTGAAATGGGTCAGTAGCATCACTGCTATTCTGATGTTCCCCAAAGTAGAAATCCATCACAAAAATCTCAATCCACTATTTTCCACTGTTCCCCATTTCAAAGGTAAAACACAAGTAAAATTTTTTTAAAGCCAAACATCAGATTTGCAAAAAAAAAAGTAAAACAGTGTCAGTCTTTTCAGTGCTTTGGTGTTACTGTTGTTTTGGCAGATAGTTATTTTTTGCAAAAAAAGTAAGTATAATATTTATTATAATAAGTTTATATTTATTTTTAAATGAACATTAATAAAGTTTGTTTTAATTTCTAATGTGGTAAACATTAATAAATGTAAGTACATTGGGTCAGGCGCAGTGGCTGATGCCTGTAATCCCAGCACTTTGGGAGGCTGCAGTGGGAGGATCACCTGAGGCCAGGAGTTCGAGGTCAGCCTGGCTAACATGGTAAAACCCTGTCTCTACTAAAAATGCAAAAAAAAAAAAAAAAAAAAAAAAAAAATTAGCCAAGCATGGCGGTAAATGCCTGTAATCCCAGCTACTTGGGAGGACGAGGTACAAGAATCATTTGAAAAGTGGAGGTTGCAGTGGGCCAAGATCATACCACTGCACTCCAGCCTGGGTGACAGAGTGAGAATCTGCCTTAAAAAATAAATAAATAAAATAAAACGTAAGCATATCGACAAAAGTTATTTTGGAGCCCTCAATAACTTATTTAAATGTAAACAAGTCTTGAAACCAAGTCATTTGAAGACTGCTATCCTACATGCTAAGAGACTTGCCAAGTCAACCAACTGATGGCAGAGCATGGGTGGAGCACTCAGTGGTGTATGGTAAATTTCTTCTCAAACTTTGTTTGTAGAGGGACAAAAGGATACAATATTTGCAAGTGTGATTATTTAGGAAAACTACAAATAAATTACAGACCAAGTGTATCTCTATGCATAAACCCAGTTCTCAGAACAATACATAGTGGCTTGGCATGGAGTGGGTGCTCCATTATCCTGTGCTGGATGAATAAATGAACAGAGCATAGACATATGTGAAGAAAAAAAGACACATATGAAGCAACAAATAAAAGAAAATAAACATGCAGGAATATCTCATTCTTGACAGGTTACAATGAAGTATAAGACAGACTTAAATATTTCATATTTCAAAACGCTTAAATAAGTAACGGGACTCTCTAGCTTTATATCAAAAATGAGGGAGGACCAAAGGAAAAAAAAGCCCCATAAATTAAGAAAAGCTGGACCAAAAAAAAAAAAAAGGCCCTTTAGTAATTTACTACTAAATAACTTTTGCTTCAAAGAAATCAAAATTGATTAAAAAATATTAAGGCTGGGCACAGTGGTTCACGCCTGTAATCCCATACTTTGGGAGGCCAAGGCAGACGGATCACCTAAGGTTGGATTCGAGACCAGCCTGGCCAACATGGTGAAACCCCATCTCTACTAAAAATACAAAAATTAGCCGGGCATGGTGGCTGGCACCTGTAATCCCAGCTACTTCGGAGGCTGAGGCAGGAGAACTGCTTGAATCCCAGGAGGCAGAGGTTGCAGTGAGCCAAGATCATACCATTGCACTCCAGCCTGGATGACAAGAGCAAGATTCTGTCTCAAAAACAAAACAAAACAAACACAGAATATTAAGAACATAACAATGGGAGCTCAACACAAGATACCTATATGATTTGGCTAAAGAAGTAATTGTAGACTAAACACTAAAAATGTTTATTCAATAAAGAAGAAAAATTAACAGGCTAAACATGCAACTCAAACAGAAAAAAAGGACAAATAAAAATTAAAAAAAAAAGAAATTAAGAGGCCAGGCGCAGTGGCTCATGCCTGTAATCCCAGCACTTTGGGAGGCCAAGGCGGGCAGATCACAAGGTTAAGAGATCACGATCATCCTGGCCAACATGGTGAAACCCCGTCTCTACTGAAATAAAAAAATTAGCCGGGCATGGTGGTGCACACTTGTAGTCCCAGCTACTCGGGAGGCTGAGGCAGGGGAACCAAATGAACCAGGGAGCTGGAGGTTGCAGTGAGCCGAAATTGTGCCACTGCACTCCAGCCTGGCGACAGAGCAATACTGCATCTCAAAAAAAAAAAAAAAAGCAATTAAAAAAAGAGAAAAGGCAGCTGGGTGCCATGGCTCACGCCTGTAATCCCAACACCCTGGAAGGCCGAAGTGGGCGGATCATTTGAGGCCAGGAGCTCAAGGCCAGCCTGGTCAACATGGCAAAACTCCATCTCTACTAAAAATACAAAAATTAACTGGGCATGGTGGTGCACGCCTGTAATCCCAGCTACTCGGGAGGCTGAGGCTGCAGTGAGTCAAGATCATGCCACTGCACTCTAGCCTGGGTGACAGAATGAGACTGTCTCAAGAAAAAGAAAAAAAAAAAGAGAGAGAGACAAGGCACAAAACTGTTTTTGCACTAATAAAAAAATTGGACAAATGATTGGGCAGGCAATTCACAATTACACAGTCACAGCACAGAAAAGCTCAACCTCATTAGTAACCAAAGACATAAATTTTGATGCCTCATGTTATTAATCCAATAGACTATCACACTGGAAAGATTGTTTTGAATAATTCTTGGCATTGAAAGTGAAGAAATACATTCTCAGAATAAGAATTAAAGTATCAAATGATCAAAATTTTTGAGGGCAACATGCCAAGATGCTTCAACATTTTTAAGGTGGTGGGGGAAGGCACGGGGATTTGACCCAACAGTATCACTTCAAAGAAAATAACTGAACCAGACTTTGGAACCAGGTGCACTGACCTGTCTAAAATTCTGGCATTGTTCCTTACCTTGAACAAAACAGTGATCTTTACTTACAATCCAATCTATACTTACAGAACCCTACAGGCTGAATTTTGTCATCTAAAAACCACTCCATGTTTAAAATTATAAGTGACCAATCTCCTGTTCCTACCAGCTCTTAGTTAACTGTTCACTATACTTGCTCTTGAATCTCCTTAAGACTTGGTCCCTAGAGTCTCTACTTTCATTTCAATCTTCACTATCATTGCTCCTATCACCTTCTTTCTAATATCAAAAACTTCCTTGTCTTTCTGCTGCTCCTAACACACAAAATTCTGTATTTGGACCAACACCATTTATTTGTCAGTACTCAACCTCTAAAATTTACTCCAACCACTCTGTGGTGTCTCATTGTCCTAACCTTGCTTAGCTAACAAATCTCAACTTTTACCTAAGAGACTGCCTATCTACATTTATACCGTTTTCTAAATGCTAGTGGAGAAAAGGATACACTAAATCTTCTGTTCCCCCTAGTTAGCCCTCTTCTCCATCCTCCAAAAGAATATCTCAAATCTGCATTCTACTCTAAATCTGATTCACAGCATCCTCTCGTACTGTCTGCAGGTGACCACTTTCTACCTTATTAAAAACAGAAGACAGAGGAACTTATTTTCATCTTTGTCTAACTTTGTTGCATCCAGACCCACCTACATCTCCTTCTCACCTATTAAATGAAAAAAGTATCCCTTTCTTTCAAACCTAATTATTTCCACCTGTCCTCTGGTTCGCCTCCAAGTATTTTTCAGTATCTTACTAAATTCATTATATTTCCTATCTCCCCCAGCTTTTTCAGCCTCTCTCTCACTCAGTTCACTTTCATTCACACTTAGACCTAATACTTCATCATTTTAAAAACAAACACTTAACAATCACGTCTCCTCCTAGACTCTCTCCCCCCACAATCTAATTCTTCAAAAACTTAAATACACACCACTGTCCTCACTTATTCATAATCCCAAACCAACTACTCAAAAGAGAGCAATACTGTGCTGATAAACAAAAACATGAAATTTATTCTCATTCTGCTGCTTATTTTCTCTGGTAGTCCCCCCCCACCCACCGCTGGCCATTCCATTAACACTGCTCTTTACCAACATCACTGAATTCTGCAACACCATAATGATACCACACTTCTTAATCCTCTCCTATCTTCCTCTTGTCACGTGTGACAGTACTGACCTGTCCCTCCTTTACATACTGCCATCTCTTGGCTTCCAGGATGCCACACTTTTGGTTTTCCTATCTCTCCATTCACTGCTTCACGAAATCCTCCTCCCTGGCCAGCCCTTTAAGTGCTACTTAGACTTCCAGGATAATCCATCGTGTCTACTCCTAGTTTCAATAACCATGCAGATGTCATCTGTATTTCTAGCCCAGCTCTCTCTCCCTGACCTTCATTTATGCACACTTAACTCTCTACTGAACACCTTCACGGGATGTCCTAGAGGTATTTAAACCATAATGTATCTGTAGAAGAACTGTGTCTAAATTACTTTGTTTAAATCATCCCTAATCCAACCTAATTGAGCATACTTCAAAACAGATTAGCAAGAAAGACTGCCTTCTTTCTGGATGCTTCAAAGGAAGAGGTATGAACTCAGCACAAGGTTTCTCTTGGAAAGGATATGGCCCACCAACAGATGCAATTATGACTCCTTTAACTGCGCTGAGCCCCACACCAATGCTCCCATTCCAGTAAGCCATCTCAACAGAGTGAATATAAACCTGAGCACCACAGTCCCAGTACATAACCAAGGCTAGAACTTTCATTGTGCTGCATTTCCCACTACATAAATAATGGTGGTTTATCATCAATTCCACTAGAGACAAAGACATGGTTAACATTCAAGAAATCAAACATTTTTTCTAGCTACTTAATTCTCTCTTAAAAAATCGTGCATTTAAAAATAAAAACGTACTCAACATAATATTAAACATGATGGGCATGGTTTTTCTTTTTTCCTCCAAAGGAAGACAATCATAAAGTGTATTTAAAAGTGCCGCCACAAAGCTAAACTTACCATCTAATTATTCCCTAATGTGAGCACTACCGTGCATCTCTGTGGCACTGGCACTATTCTAGTTCAGGCCAACAACCATTAAAAGTAGTCATTTCCCCTGTTATCCCAATAGTTTGAGGTCAGCCTGGTCAACATAGTGAGCCACCATCTCCAAAAAAATTTTTTTAATTAGACGGGTGCTGTGGTGCCCGCTTGTAGTCCCAGTTACCTCAGGAGGCTGACGTGAAAGGATTGACTGAGCCCAGGAGTTCAAGGTTGGAGTGAGCTATAATCTTGTCAGCGTACTCCAGCCTGAGCAACAGAGCAAGACTCTGTCTCTTTAAAAAAGCAGTCATTTTTCATTCGACAAATTTAGGTCATGCATGAGACATCAAAATAATATCTTGTAAATCATATTCCTATGATAGTATAATGAGCTGCCATGTCAATCTTCTTACACAGCACTTTGCATAAGATTTCTAGGCTACTGCTTGTTAATTAGGTCAGCAATTGCATATTCCATATAACAGCGTGCTCACTGTTACAGTATTATTTTTTCTTCTTACTTTTGTAACTATGTTGTTCCTTATTACTGTTGTAACTATATACAGTATAAATAATTGTGTAAAGTTTTAATGGGTAGCCCTGAAATATAACATCTGAATAAAAGCTAATGCAGGCTATGTACTTGCCATATGCCAGGCAGTGTACTAAGAGCCTCACAATAATTAACTCTTTTAATCTGTACTACATCTCTATGAGGTTGTAGTAGCCAACACCCAAGATGGCCCCCAATGACTCCCATCTCTTGGTATTCAAGCCTTTGGTACATACCCTTCACATACTAAATTATGGCTAGTCCACAAGAACAGTAAGATACTGCTGAAGTAAAAGTGTGACTTCTGAGGCTGGTTTATATATAAAAGCCATCGTTTCTATTTTGCTCTCTTGGATCACTAACACTGGGAGAAGCCAGCCACAATGTCATGAGGACATATGGGGAGGATCTGAGGCCTCCAGTCAATAACCATCACCAAGCTGTTAGCCATGTGAGGAAGTCACTTTCAGTGGGAACCCTCCAGCCAGTCAAGCCTTTAATGCATAGAATGAAGTCCTTAAATCCAACTTCCTGAGACTCTTGAGTAAGAACCACACAGCTAAAATATCCCTGAATTTCTGACTCACAGAAATTATGAAATAGTAAGTGTTTACTGTTCTAATTAAGTTTTGGGGTAATTTGTTATGCAGTAATAGGTTAACTAGTACACAGGTAGATACTATTATCCTCTTTTTCTAATGGGGACACTAAGGCAGATGAAATAAAAAGGTTAAACATACAGGCTCTAGAGGCAGAGTCTCTAAATTTGAATCCTGGCTACTCATATGGGAGATGGTATTTGTAAATAACAAGTATTGTTAATGTGTGTAAGTACTGACCAGGCTTTTTTTTTTTTTTTTTTTTTTGACAGAGTCTCGCTCTGTCACCAGGCTGGAGTGTAGTGGCACGATCTTGGCTCACTGCAACCTCCACCTCACGAGTTCAAGCGATTCTCCTGCCTCAGCCTCCCAAGTAGCTGAGACTACAGGTGCACGCCACCACACCTAGCTAATTTTTTGTATTTTTAGTAGAGACAGGGTTTCATCACATTGGCCAGGAGGGTCTCGAACTCCTGACCTCGTGATCCGCCCACCTCAGCCTCCCAAAGTGCTGGGATTACAGGCATAAGCCACGGCGCTCAGCCTGACCAGGCATTTTTAAAGGCAATCTGCCACACTTTGACCAAATAATTTCGCATCTAGAAATCAATGCTAGAGGTGCTCATGTAACTACTTCAAAGACAAAGGTACAAAGTATGTGCACTACATTGCTTTTTGCAATACTAAAAACTGAAAACCACCCTAAACATCCACAAAGGAGAAATGGTAAAATAAATTAATGTACATAAATTCATTTGAACATTATGCAATATAAATGAATATTTATAACTATGTTTGAGGAAAAAAAGCTAGTTGCTAATTAATTTTTTTAAACAAATAGTGTAGTTGTGTTCATGTATTATGTGTAAATGTATTTTTTGAAAAGACTAGAGGGATATACAGAGTCTACAGTGGTTCCTTAGACCGATGGCAAAAGCCATTCTCATTTTACTATACTTTATTTACTATAATGAGCCTGAATTACTTGAGTAATTTAGGGAAAACTGGACTTTCAAAGAGAAAAAGAGATTTCATTTAAAAGAAAAAGGTCTAAGGCAGTTCTAATACTACACGGCCTAATTAAAAAATAATAGCAGCAATTAAATTTTGGCAATCAACAATTAGCAAAATAAAGGAGATTCCCAAAGCCAAATGTGTACTAAAGGATTTCTTATGTTTACACTACAGGTAATGCTTTTTCTTTTTTGGTTCTTCGGTTCTTCTCCTTCCACTTGAGAAACTGGTACAGGCACCAGAGTATTTCCTGGGGAATTTCTGTCCCAAGGTAGGTTCCTGATATTTCTACAAATACAAATTTGATTTTAAAAATGTCAGCTGACTTCAGTACAAATAGGAAAAATCTCCTCACTGGACCCAAGGAATAAAATAATTTAGTACAGGAGATTTTTACAATTGAAACAATAACTGATAGCATAACATTAATTATGTGAGAAGAGGCAGGCACTATAACAAAGGCAATCCTCAAACTGGGGTTATGATCCAAAAGGCTATTATTTTAAATATATGATTTGAAATCCAAAACCCATTTGTCCCACAGAAATTAAGCCAACCAATTCATGCCAATTTAATCTATTATAAAATATATTCCTAACAGTATGATTTCAACAAGACCAAAAGAAACACAGGAATTTGAAAACTGAGTAAGCAGAATTCCCAAGATACCTGTAAGTTTCTATATAGGCAAAGAATGGATCTCGCCAGTGCACTAGCAAAAACAAGGTGCCTACCTAATTCAACCAGAAGTGTGTGGGGAATAATTGGTGAGAACAACTTTATCTACCTGTTTAAGCCTCCAGAATCTGTTCATGTATTGTCAGTCATTTGTAGCTGGTCTACCTCCTCGAAATAAGTTTATACAATGTTTACAAGTTTTATAAAGCTCATTCAGTTGTAAAATTAGCTTTCGTGACACTATAAAAAACATTTATTTATCTAAACTTACAGGGAACAGATGGTGTAGTGTCCTTCGTACGATTCACTGTGCCACAGTAGGGTTAAATTTAGCAAATTTCTTTCAGAAATTAACTGGAATCCTATACGGCATCTATCGCGGCAGGACCTTGTTCATTGATTTTACACACTGTTCAAAATTGCTGATTATGTCAATCTAAGAAAATGAGAATATCTCATTCATACAAACCTTTTAAAGAAAGAATAGTGAAATGATCGAAATAAAAACTGATGAAAGCAGGATTTGTTTAAAAACTGCAAAATTTATTTCTAATTTCACAATTCACTAAATATTTCCATGCCCATGATCTCACCTGATTTTCACAACTGTTAGGAAAGCAGTTCAATTATTATTACTCTCATTTTAATAAAGAGGAGAAAGACTTTTTTAAAAGTATTGTGCTTAAGGACAAAGCACAAGTACAAAGTTGTGAGGACTCCCTTTTAGGAACAGTATGGTGGATCTGAAAAGAGCAAGATGTGGAAAAAAGTAAACAGAATTAAGAGATACTCCTGAATTTTCTTGAGAAGCAGGGAAATAGGGCAGCAGCTAAAGAGGGATGTGGACACAAGGGAGTGTATCATTAAGATGGGGAAAAATGTTTGTATACCCTAGAAATGGGAAAAATCAGTGATGAAGAGAAAAGATCTGATGGAGTGATGTCCTTCACACATGACAGGGGATGAGGTACAGTGGAAAAGTGGAAGGACCTGCCTTAGATAGCACCGCCCACAATTCAGAACTATCTACAGTAAGAAGAGGCTAGCAGGTAGGTAGCTACGGTAGGACCTTGTAGACATTCTGTCTCGATTATTTCCAAATTCTCAATCAAATAAAGACTAGGGTCATCAAGTGAAAATAAGCAGGCTAGATGATATGAAAGCATCCTGTGGCAGTGGAAGAGTGACTGGACTAGTAAACTGTAAGACTGTCAGGTGCTGCATACTAAGGACCCAATTAAGGTTCCTTAGTGTGCCTTAATGTTCCTTAGTGCTCATGAACTTAAGTTCCTTAATGTTCATAAATTTAAGCAAGACAAGTCAATGTGGCTACAAGGTGCATCTCTGGCCACTCAGGTGCAAGTACAAACACTGAGTTGAATTTAATCACATTTGAGGCTTTCTAAGCAAGAACAATGGAGGGAGAGTGGTACCACATTGCCAAGCACTGTTAATATTATTTCAAAACCCATATACCAATAAGTTAGTACTTTCATACTAGTATTCTCATTTTACAGCAGAGGACCAAAAGGCACATACTGAGTAACTTGCCTGAGGTGACACAGCAAGTGGTACAGCCAACTGTACCTCTCAAAACATATCCTAATTCCATCTACTTCTCTACATCTCCACTCCTACTGCCCTGGTTCAAGCTGCAATTACTTAAAACTACTGCACAAGCCCCCTAACTGATGTCTCTGCTTTTCACTCTTGCCCACCCCACAGCATCAAAGTAACCTTTAAAAATCCTACAAGAAATATTTCTTGGCTAGGTGTGCTGGCTCATGCCTGTCATCCCAGCACTTTAGGAGGCTGAGGCAGGAGGATCACTTGAGGCTAGAAGTTGGAGACCAGCCTGGATAAAACATCAAGACCCCATCCCTACAAAAAAAAACTAAAATTAGCTGGGCGTGGTGGCATGCCCCCGTAGTCCCAGCTACTGGGGAGGCTTAGGGTGGAGGATCACTTGAGCCCAGGAGTTTGGGGCTGCAGTGAGCTATGATCATGCCACTGTACTCTATCCTGGGTGACAGAGCAAGACCTTGTTGAAAAAGGAAGGGAAGGAAGGAAGGGAAAGGAGTGGGGAAGGAAGGGAGGAAAGGAGGGAAGGAGAGGAAAGGAGAGGGAAGGGGGAAGGGAGGGAGGGAGGGAAGAAGGGAGGAAAGGAGGGAGGAAGGGAGGGAGGAAGGGAAGAAGGGAGGGAGGAAGGGAGAGAGGAAGGGAGGGAAAAAGAGAAAAGAGAGACAGAGACAAAGAAACAAAGATTTCTGTCCTGCTTGTAAATGTTTCCAAGTTTACCCTGAAAACCCCTAGCCTAACTCACTTGCCTAACTCACTCTCTTATCTCTTACCCAACTCACCCTTATCTCTTACCCATCACCTTAGCAATGCAGGCTTTTTTTCAGTACCCAAAACACATTCTTAAAGGTCTTTGCTCTAGCAGTTCCCTATAGAAAACATTCTCTTCATTCTCGAGTGCTCATTTTTACTCAGCTCTCAGCTTAAATGTCACCTTATTCAGAAAGGCCTTCAGTGACTAGTAAATTTAAAAGTAGCCACCCAGATCTCCTGAGCTCAGGAGTTCAAGACCACCCAGGGCAACATGATGAAACCCTGTCTCTACTAAAAATACAAAAAAATTAACCAGGTGTGGTGGGGCACACCTCTAGTCCCAGCTACTTGGGAGGCTGAGGCAGGAGAATCGCTTGAGCCCCAGAGGCGAAGGCTGCAGTGAGCCAAGATGGCGCCACTGCACTCCAGCTTGGGCTACAGAGTAAGACTGCATCTCAAAAACAAAACAAAACAACAACAAAAATGTAGCCACCCAGTGAAGTATTATCAAATACTTTATCCTATTTCAACTTTCTGCATAGCACTTACCATTACCTGGTTTTTAAAATGTATTTTTTGACAGTTTTATCCCACTAGAATGCACATACCATCACAGCAGGGCCTGACATCTAGTAAGTACACAGCAAATATTTATTAAATAAATAAATCAACATGCAAACACACTACGTTGGGGGATCACTGCTTTGCCAGTTCACCAAAAGAATATATTCAGTTCATTCAAAGATCTTTACTAAATGCCTACTGTGTGCACGGCATCAAAACAGCAAAAGTCTGGCAAAAATGTACCAGATTTCTCAGTTTCTTCCTGTATCTTGTTCTGCCAATATGCCAAGAACTCTTAATTTCACCTCTGTGATATAGTATTTTTAATACATTTACTACTCATTACCTTAATCTAGGAAGCTTGTATAATATGAAATTGTATCTAGCATGACTATATTGAAAATACAATAAACCACCACAGGAATACTTCACTAATAAATGATGGCTAGTAAATACTGTATAATACAGAGCAAGTACTAAAGCAATATACACACACAGTTTTTTTGTTTTTTTTTTTTTTTTGAGATGGAGTTTCGCTCTTGTTACCCAGGCTGGAGTGCAATGGTGCGATCTCAGCTCACTGCAACCTCCTCCTCCCAGGTTCAAGCGACTCTCCTGCCTCAGCCTCCTAAGTGGCTGGGATTACAGGCATGCACCACCATGCCCAGCTAATTTTCTATTTTTAGTAGAGACCAGGTTTCACCATGTTGGTCAGGCTGGTCTGGAACTCCTGACCTCAGGTGATCCACCCGCCTCGGCTTCCCAAGGTGCTGGGTAAAGCAGTATTTTATAACAATCACATTATAGAGGTAAACCACGAAATTAGGTAATTCTTCACAGCACACTAATATGCTATTTATAGATATTAAAACTGATGTCTTTGCAATTCTCTTAGCAAAAACATCCAATGTATATGTAGAATTTTAATGTCACTTATATACTAATCCAATCACATTTCAGCTTTTGCATTTAAAGTCTCATCTCAAATTTACTGAGTTTTGTTTTTAGTTGTTCAAGGCAAACAGTGTCAAGAGTTAGACTGCAGGATTAATTTGTATATCACATACTTTTTCTTGTCACCATTTCAGTGATGCAATAAAATACTGCACTGTATTTTTTTTATCTCAAAAGGTTTATTCCTAAATCTACCTTTCTTAATGTTTTTAAGCAACAGTAATATAAAACACTAATTGACTATAAAACTGAGCTTAAAAACTGTATTCCATTTCCCTCTAAATGTCCATCACACCATTAAACTTCAGAATTTTTTTTTTTTTTTTTTGAGACGGAGTCTCGCTTTGTCGCCCAGGCTGGAGTGCAATGGAGTGATCTCAGCTCACTGCAACCTCTGCCTCCTGGGTTCAAGCGATTCTCCTGCCTCAGCCTCCCAAGTAGCTGGGACTACAGGTGCATGCCACCACGTCCGTCTAATTTTTTGTATTTTTTTTAGTAGAGACGGGGTTTCACCGTGTTAACCAGGATGGTCTCGATCTCCTGACCTTGTGATCCGCCCACCTCGGCCTCCCAAAGTGCTGGGATTACAGGCATGAGCCACCACACCCAGCCTAAACTTCAGAATTTTTAAGAATTTCAGAGAAGCAGTGCTCTATCACACATCTCAAAATGCTTTAATATGTAGGCTACTTAAAAGTCTCCCACAATTTTTACAGTAAAAAACAAAAAAAGCACATAATGAAGAAAATCTCCTAGCAATGGTCTCCCTACCCCACACATACCACCTTCTCATTTTGTTTCTATATTGTTTGAATATTTTATAAGAAGGCTTGCATTACAATTGTAGAAACAAAAAGATCTTTGCAAAGATTAACACTAAAGGCAGTGGTCATGTAATGTATCACAGTAATAGTCAAGTAAATGGTACAAAATGCCTAATAAGTCTAAGAAAGTTTTGTTAAAACTAGGGCAAATAAAAACACCTTAAAACAAATTATCTTGCTCTTTCCATTTTGTATATCCCCCTACTCTATAGCCAATGAGCTTTGACTAAGTCAATAAGGCTCCCAGAAGCCCCAGACCACGTTCTACAGGTCCCTGTACTCCTCCAGTCCTGCCAGCAAAGCTCACTAAACATTTACTTGTTCAACAAATGAATCATTCCCATGATTCCACTTATCTCACAGTCCTTTCTTCCATTTTTGCTCATGCTCATCTCAAGCTCACAAGAGTTGCTATACTGGCTACGTAAGTTACTTAATTTCCTTGGTTCCTTCTAGGTAAAAATTAAACAAGGACAAATCTGTGACCAGACCAAAAACAGGTCTCAATAAGATCCTATCTTATTTTAGATCTATTTCTAATATCCTTGGTTACCTCGTTCTCACAACAACTTAGAAACAGGACACTTAGCGTTGCCCTAGAAAACATAATTTTCATTGTTTATTTTCTTACTGGAATTCTAAGGTGTCGTATCAAAAACACATACTAATTAAAACCCACTACAAACATAGAATTGAAACAGTTGTCATGAAAAATATTTCCTAAAGTCATTAAAATAAAAACTGACAAGTCATTAAATGCAAACGTTCCATATATCCCAGAGGAAATGCTTTAATTTCTTGCCCCGGACTAACAGTATTAGTTTTTTTATACTAACAGCAACAAAATTATATTTATATAAATAGCAGCGAAAGCTGTAGAAACCGCTCCCTAACAATGGGCTTTTCAAAAATATACTTCCAGACGTATAACATATTACTTTTCCTTGGAAATAAACTGGAAAACAGCAAAAATAGTTAAGAATTCACACAAACACAGGTACAGCATTGACTCTCAGTTAACAGTATGCGTAAAGTGCCTAAAACGCTAAACAAATCTTACAGAACGTAAATACTTCAGTGGAGCTGTTGACAGAGTCACTGCATAACTTCAATACACCCACACATATTTACCAAAAAGCCACAATATTTCTTTAGCTTTCAATAATTCTGAAATTAACTGAGTATTATAAGCCGATTAAGTTACTGGGGCACCAACATTTGTTACCACAAAGAACCAAAGTCAAATAGGCATTTTACGTAGTTTGTCTGAAATCATCAAACAAACTCCATTTTAACTTTCACCCTTCAACTTATTAATGCACATTAAGCAGTAAAGAAATATTCAAGAGAAATTAGATTCTATTAGTACTGTCAGTCCACAGGGTATTGTCAATTACTTCTGAGGACACTGAAAAGTTTCTCATGTATAACTGAGATCTCCTGTACTTTTAAGAAGTTAATCACACAGCATACACCCACATATAAATATTCTGAAATCAAATAATTTTGTACCAAAATCCCAAAAAGGCTGTTTCTTAAAAAATTAAAGATGTACAAAACTTAAGATTAAATGAGATAAGTAAAACGTAACACTGTATCTCCACTCAAAGGAATCCATTGTTTAAATAATCGATTCCATTTACTGACCACCAAGTAAATACATACCATCTAATCTTCACATCTCTGCAAGGCAGGTATTATCCCTATTATACAGAGAATGAAACTAACCGTAATTTGCCCAAGGTCATAGCAAATAAGTTACAAAACCACAAATGGAACTCAGGTCTACTTAACACCAAAGCCCCTGATCTCCACCCAAAATAGAATCAACTACTTTTAAAAATAGAGTTGGGCAGAAAGCTGCTGGTTTAAACTTAGTATTATGACAATCTTGGCGGTGTATTTCCGAACATAAGCAGTAAATTTACACTCACAGCGTTTTTAGATTCTTGGCATAAAGTTGTACTGACCTCAACAGTGTCTCTTTATGCAGTCACAAATACAGAAAAATGTATAATGTGGACTTCTGAAATGTTTAAGGCTTTAACTGCAGAAAGGATTCAAAGTTGTTGTTTTTTGTTTTTTTTTTCTTTTTTCCCCCTTGAACTGCTACTGTTTGGGGCATCGGGGGAGGGTGGCTGCAGCGTTCCAACTCCTACAATTCCAAGATTTCTAACACAGAAAACCCGTTAAATCTGAAGTTTAGTTTGAGCCTGGATGGCTGTGAAGAGCTCTAACAGCTAAAACCATCACCAAAGAGGCCTCAAAGTGCAATCTACGCAAGGGTGTGGGTTTGGTGGCGGGAGGAAGGCAGCAGAACGATTCATTTGCAAATAAAAGGGTAAACAATTCTGAGGGGAAAGGGGCAAATTCATTTTCACCACCACTCACCTCTCGGCGGCAAACGGAACCTGATACTTTTTTTTTTCTTAAGGCTCATCTTCTCGGGTTACCAACTCTGGGAACTAAGCGGCTAACCAGGTCCACACAGGGGTAGTGGCGACGCCTACGTCTCCCTCCCCCACCTGTGCACCCATACCAGAAAGCCAGGCTCTACGGCTGAGACGGCCTGGACCTTCCCATCCCCCTCCGGCCCCGCTAGCACGAGCTCCTAGGCCCAGGCCCGCGGGCGTGCGCTCCACGCCATCTGCCACCAGGCCTTCGGCGTCCGGCCACTGCTTCCCCATTCTCCTGCCACAAAGCCCACGGCCAAGACAGGAGGATCGGCTCCGCTGTACGCCGCCAGGGCCGGCACCAGGACCCAGGGCCCTCATCGCGCCCTCCGGGGCTTCCCCCGCTGGAGCGCGCCGCCCGGCCCCACGAGCTCCTGGCGCTCCCCGCGGCCCGCACGCGGCTGCCCCTGCCCCCGGCCCGCGCGCATACCGTCTCCTCGGGGTCAATGTCTATCTTGAAGGTCTGCTGCTGGAGGGTCTTCAGGGTGACCTGCATGGTGCCGCCGCGCAGCTCGGCTGCCGGGCCTGCGCCGGGTGCTGGCCGCTGGGCGGGGTCTGTGGCCTGGCGGGGCCCCGGGGTCGCCCGCGCTCCTCGCGCTCTGGGGAGGAAGGCGGTGGGGGTGGGGGCTTGTCACATTCGCCCAGCGGAGCGGCCTCTCCCCCAGCCCGTGCCCCGGACCGCGCCGCTGCCTCCGCGACTGCGGCCTTCCCCGCGAACTCGGGCCGCCGTGCTTCCTCACGCGCCGAGCGCCAGCCACGGAGTCTGCAGAAGGCGCGAGGGGGTCGGCGAGACAAGCAGGGAATCCGCTAGCTCACCACAGGATGGTGGCCGCCATCATCGTGACTCGCCGAGACGTGCCCCCTCCCCCACGCGAAAAACCTGGGGGGATGGGGCCGGGCGGGCGAAGCGCGCAGGCGTGGGGTGCGGCGACGCTTTGCGCCGGCGCGGCCGAGGACTCCGCCCCAGAATTGGGGGCGGGGCGGAAGGCGGTCCTGGAATGTCGGCGGCCTGGACCCGGATTACGCAGGCGCGTTCCGTGGGCGGCAAGGGCTCCTGGGGCTTCCTCCTAGCGACTATTGCTGGGGCGTTCTCTCCGGCTGCCGCGGCTCCGCCTCTGTGCAGGCTCCGCCCGGCTGCCGAAGTTACGCAATGTGTAGCCCGGGAAGCGCTTCGTGGAGACCCGGCAGAGTGGATGCGGAGCCCTGGAGCGGGGGAGTAATCGGGGCGGAGTTTAAGTGAAAGGATGGCGGTAACCACAGTCTGGGGGCCAGCACCCGCGGGGCGCTTGCTGCGGGGCTCAGCCCTGGGGGTGTCGACTGATTCTTTAATCCCGACAGCACAGACTCCTGAGCTGGACTGCCCGAGTTCAAATATTGTTTTTTCTCACTAGCCTAAACAGATGGACCGATTTAAAATGAAGGTCAAGTTCTGTCACACCTCGGGGTAGAACTGTCCAGTGTTTCCCCATCTAGCCCCGAGTTAAAGTCAGAGTTATTAGAACGGATGCATTAGCCCCTCGCCTTTCTCCGAGTCGCCTTACTCTCCCCACTGGTGGATTCTAGGTTGCCCCCGGCTCCCTTAACATCCTTGCTCAGATATTGCCTTCTTGGTGAGGTCTGTTCTGGCTGCCTTACTTAAAATCCCAACTTCCTATCTCTGTTATCCTGCTCTGTTTTCTTGTATAGCGGGTATCCCTTTATAATTACCCTGTAATGTACGTATCTCTTGTTTATCATCTTTCTCCTTTTCCTGTGAACCCCAGACTGAAGCTGCACAGAGGCAAAGATTTTGCTGTGTTCACCCATGAACATGCCTGGCACATTGCAGGTGCACGGTAAATATTTGTGGAATGGGTGAATGTGCTTCTGGATCCTCAGCAGTAGAATGAGAATAATAATGTCACTCATTGATTATTGGAGGGGGAAGTTGAATATTGTATGTAAAATCATGATAAACAGTCTGTAAGCAGTTAGCTATTAGTAGAAAGTCCGTTTACAGATAGAAAACTGAAGTACAGAGATGTTGAGTAATGCACCTGGAATAACCCAGCCAGTAGTAAATGGCAAATCCACAATGTGACCTCAGACAGAATGACTCCAGAGTCTGTGTCCCAGGGTGTGCCACTATTCCCCTGTTTTTTGTTTTAAAGATTATTCTTATTTTTTTAAAGCGTCTGACTGTCATCCACGCTGGAGCGCTGTAGCACAAACACGGCTCACTGCAGCGTCAACCTCCTGAGCTCAAGAGATCCTTCCACCTCAGCCTCTTGAGTAGCTGGGACCACAGACACACACCACTGCTTCCCAGCTGATATTTTATTTTTTTGTACAGATATGTTCTCCCTATGTTGCCAGGGCTGGTCTTGAACTCCTGGGCTCAAGTAATCCTCCTGCTTCGGAGTCCCAAAGTGCTGGGATTATATGTGAGCCATCGCTCCCAGCTATTCTCCTCTGTTTTATACTGTGCCTGTGGCACATTTGATTTAGTTCAAGTATAAAACACAGTTCTAGTCAGGCCACTAGCTCTATGACCAATTACAAATTACTTCTCTGGGACAGCATCCTCACTAATACAATGTCACTGCTTGGTTTTCAGTGGCTTCAAGGAGCTTGGGTTTAATGTTTTCAAGAAACTTTCCTTGACCAGCTTCTCCCTCCACTAACCTGATATTTCCCCTTTCACAACACATAACTCCCTTCATAGTAATTAAATATGCAATCTTCTGCCCTCTGTCTTCCTGTATCTACTCGTAGTCACCAGGTGGTTTCATCTTGGCCCTTGTTTTGAAATACCTCCAGCCTGGACCTTTCCCCTTAGCTATAGAGTTAGCCAATTGCCTAAGCAATATCTTCACCTGAATATGTAACAAGCCTCTGAAACTTAATGTGGCCAAAGAGAACAATTGATTTCTCTCTGGACCTCCTTCCCCCCTGCAAACTGCCCCTCTCCCAGTTTTCCCCCATCTTAGTTTATGGCCTCACAGTCTACCCAGGTGCTCAGACCAAAAATCTGGTCTTCATCCCTGATAACTCTCTTCCCTCACTCACCCACTCCCAACCACCACATGCAATTCATTATCAAGCCCTGTCAACCTTATTCTCCAAAGTATATCCCCAAGTCAGCCTTTTTTCACCGTTTCTACTTCTACAGCCCTAAGCTAATCCATCATTATCCTTCACCTGCGTCCCACCTGGTCTCTCCGCTTCCACCCTTTACCCCCAACAGCCTCCCCAGCAGCCAGAGTGGCCTTTTAAACCCATAAATCAGAGCATGTTGTATCTATGCTTAGTATCTCATTACATTTTAGAATAAAAGTCAAACTCTTTACGTGGCCTTGGAGAGCCCACATGATCTGACTCCTGCCAGTTTCTCTGACCTCATCTCTTTCCTTCTCTCACCCACTCATTCACTGTCATCCATTTCCCTTTCAACCCTCAAACAGGTTAAGCTGGTTCTAGCCTCAGGGCCTTTGCACTTGAGGTTCCTTCAGCTTGAAACTCTATCTTCCCAGATCTTTGAACAACTAACTCCTTTTCATCTTCAGGTTCCAATTCCAATTTTACTTTTTTAGAGAGGACTTCTCCAACCAATTTAATAATATATATTAAACATGTGTTAAGCCTTTTTTCTTTTTCTTTTTTTGAGATGGAGTATCGCTCTGCTGTCGCCCAGGCTGGAGTGCAGTGGCGCAATCTCGGCTCACTGCAACCTCTGCCTCCCAGGTTCAAGCGATTCTCCAGCCTCAGCCTCCCGAGTAGCTGGGATTACAGGTGCCCGCCACCATGCCTGGCTAATTTTGTATTTTTAGTAGAGATGGGGTTTCACCATATTGGCCAGGCTGGTCTGGAACTACTGACCTTGTGATCTGCCTGCCTTGGCCTCCCAAAGTGCTGGGATTATAGGCATGAGCGTCCTCGCCTGACCTAAGCCTTTTTTCTAGGCAAGCCACTTACTTTTTAGGGAGAGACACTGACTCTCGTATTCATGACTGTTTTCACCTACAACAGTGCCTAGAACACAGTAGGTGCTCAATAGTGTATGCTGACTGACTCCTAACTCAGTTCTAAACTCCATGAGACAGGGGCTGAGTCAGTCCTGTGCATCTTCTTATCTGAAGGAGCTAGCACAATGTGGATACTCTATACATGTTGTTTGAAAGCATGGTAAGGTCATTTTAGTTATAATTTACAACAGTTGTAAGAAAATGTGAAAATATTTTAAAATATGCTGTACAGTTGTAATATTAAAAGTTTCCTGCTACAACTGTTACTGTCTGCAGAAAAAAAAGGAGAGAGATGCCTTTACATATATTAGTGCATGCAAAAAAAAAAAAGTTTTTTTTTGCTCGTGGCAAAAGGAAAAAAAAAGCCAATGTAGAAAGGGAGGGATTGATTGAAAATAAAAGTCCTCCTCCCACCTCCCTAGAAGTAAGCATTGTTTTGAGTTCTTAGAAACTTTCTAGATATATAAAAGAATATATTTCTCCAGCTGGGTGTGGTGGCTCACACCTGTAATCCCAGCACTTTGGGAGGCCAAGATGGGTGAATCACGAGCTCAGGAGTTCGAGACCAGCCTGGGCAATATGGTGAAACCCCATCGCTACTAAAAATACAAAAGTTAGCTGGGCGTGGTGGCGCGTGCCTGTAGTCCCAGCTACTTGGGAGGCTGAGGCACAAGAATCGCTTGAACCCGGGAGGCAGAGGTTGCAGTGAGCTGAGATAGCGCCACTGCACTGGGCAACAGGGTGAGCCTCTGTCTCAAAAAAAAAAAAAAAAAGAATATGTTTCCACAAATACAGTCATGCGTCACTTAATGAAGAAATTTGTTCTGAGAAGTGTGTCATTAGGCAATTCGGTTGTTGTGCAAACATCGGAGAATGTACATATACAGCCTAGGTGGTATAGCCTACTACACACCTTGGATATATGGTATAATGTATTGCTCCTGGGCTACAAACCTGCACAGCGTGTTACTGTACTGAGTACTGTAGATAATTGTAACACAATGGTAAGTACTTGTGTATCTAAACATAGAAAAGGTATGGTTAAAAAAGTGGTATAAAAAGATTAAAAATGGCACACCTGTGTAGGGCGCTTATCATGAATGGAGATTTCAGGACTGGAAAATGCTCTGGGTGAATCAGTGAGTGACTGGTGTGTGAATGTGAAAGTCTAGAGTGTTACTGTACACTACTATAGACTTTATAAACACTGCACACCTAGGCTACTCTAAAGTGTTTCTTTTTTCAATAATAAATTAGCTTGCTGTAACTTTATGAACTTCTAATTTTTTTTTAACTTTTTGACTGGTAATAACAGCTTATAATACAAACATTGTACAGCTATAAAAAATAAAAAATATTTTCTTTATATCCTTATTCTATAAGCTTTTTTTTTTTTTTTTTTTTTTTGAGACAGGACCTTGCTCTGTCATGTAGGCTGGAGGGCAGTGGCATCATCATAGCTCACTGCAGTCTCGAACTCCTGGCCTCAAGAGATCCTCCCACTTTAGCCTCCCAAAATGCTAGGATTACAAGCACGAGCCATTGCCTCTGGCCATTTTTTTTCTTTTTTTGTTTTTTTACTTTTTAAACTTTTTGTCGTTGTTAAGAACTAAGAAACACACATTAGCCTAAGCCTTTAGGATCATCAATATCACCATCTTGTACCTCCACATCTTGTCAAACTGAAGGGCCTCAAGGGCAGTAACACCCATGGAGCTGTCATGTCCTATGATAACAATGCCTTCTTCTGGAATACCTCCTGAAGGACCTGCCTGAGGCTGTATTATAGTTAACTTTTGTTATATAGGTGGAAGGAGTACACTCTAAAAGAACAATAAAAAATATACTACAAGGCCAGGCGCAGTGGCTCATGCCTGTAATCCCAGCACTTTGGGAGGCCGAGACAGGCAGAATGCATGAGTCCAGGAGCTTGAGACCAGCCTGGGCAACATGGCAAGACCCTTTCTCTACAAAAAATAAAAATTGCCAAGTGTGGTGGCACACACCTGTAGTCTCTGCTACTTGGGAGGCTGAGGTGGGAGGATCACCTGAGGACGGGAAGCGGAGGTTGCAGTGAGCCAAGATTGCACCACTGCATTCCAGCCTAGGCTACGGAGCAAGATCCTGTCTCAAAAAAAAAGTATAGTACAAGCTGGGCACTGTGGCTCACGCCTGTAATTTCAACACTTTGGAAGGCTGAAATGGAAGGATAGCTTGAGCCCAGGAGTTCAAGATCAGCCTGGGCAACATAGGAAGACTTCATCTCTACAAAAAAAATTTTTATTTAATTAGCCAGGCATGGTGGTGCACGCCTGTGGTCCCAGTTACTCTGGAGGCTGAGGTGGGAGGATCCCTAGAGTCCAGGAGGTCGAGGCTTCAGTGAGCCATGATCGTGCCACTGCACTCCAGCCTGGGAGACAGAGTGAGACCTTGTCTCAAAATTTTAAAAGTGTAGTATGTTAGTGCATAAACCAGTAACAATCATTTATCATCAGGTACTACATACAATACATAATTTTATGTGCTAGACTTTTATGTGACTTGCAGTGCAGTAGGTATGTTTACACCAGCATCACCACAAACGTGAGTAATGCATAGCACTTTGACGTTATGACACCCAAGATATCACTAGGTGATAGGAATTTTTTAGCTCCATCAAAATGTCATGCATAAATATGGTTCAGCATGGACTAAAATGTCATGTGGCACATGACTGCAGTTGTGGCAACAGTAGATTTTAGATGTCAATTAATTAAAATGTTTGCACAGTATCATTTTTCTGAAGTACAATGTTAAGATGAAATTTTGTTTTGAATTTCTAGAAAAACTGCACACTAGACGTGCTAGATAATAAGACCTCCACCCCTACTCCAAGACACAAAAACCATCAAGATGAAGCTCTTGTCAGCAAGGCATTGTAGGATAGGCCTGGAGCCTCGCTTCTAGAGCTATTGGGCCAAGATTAAATTCCAAATGCTTCATAACAAGCATTGCTTGCATTTTTGGAAATCCATCAAATGGTTTTAGGGAAGAGGCTGAGCAAGAGAGATACAGCAGCTGCTGACTTAAAAAATCCAGTGTAAAAATGCCAGACTAGACAATTCATTTGTCCAACAAATAATTTTTAAGGATTCAGTAGGAAACAGAACGAAATCCTTGCACCCATGGAGTTTATATTCTAGTATGATAATAAACTGATAATACACTAAAAATAAAAAAATTATACATCAGATGATAAGCACCATTTTAAGAAAATGCATGAAGAGGATGAATAGTGCTCTGGAAAAGGAATATTGCTTTACAGATTGTTCCATTTATGTTTTATTCCCACCCCACCCCCAGTATTATTTTTGTCTCCTTCTTCACCCAGAAATTAGCCCCAAGAAGGCTGATCTGTAGGACTACCGCAATTGGCTTCCTGGGGCATCTCTGCAGGAGATAGGTTTGAGGGAGGAGAGTGAAGTTAGGGAATTTATTCCTCTTTGAGTTTGGCAGTGCACTTGATACAGGGTCATTGCTTCTGAAGGGTGGCTTTTCCCCAGGTGATTCTGGTAACTGCTCCTCACTTTGCCCCCTCAAGCCTAGAGGGACCTTATTTCTCACTCCAGGGAAATGTACTCTCCCTGCAGTTTCCCTGTGCTCTCTCCCACATCATTGCAAAGCGTCTGTTGCGTGAATGTTTTCAGTATATCCATTATTAGTTTCTTAGGGCTGCCATAACAAAGTACCACAGATTGGGTGGCTTAAAATAATCAAAATTTGGCCAGGTGCAGTGGCTCACACCTGTAATCCCAGCACATTGGGAGGCTGAAGCGGGCGGATCACCTGAGGTCGGGAGTTCGAGACCAGCCTGACTAACATGGAAAAACCCCATCTCTACCAAAAATACAAAATTAGCCGGGCGTGGTGGCACATGCCTGTAATCCCAGCTACTCGGGAGGCTGAGGCAGGTAAATCGCTTGAACCCAGGAGGTGGAGGTAGCAGTGAGCCAAGATCACACCATTGAACTCCAGCCTAGGCAACAAGAGTGAAACTTCGTATCAAAAAAAAAAAAAAATATTTTTCACATTTTCACATTTCTGGTGGCTTGAAATTCAAAATCAAGGTGTTGATAGGGCTGTATTCCCTCTGAGATTTGGGAGAATTCTTCCTCATCTCTTTCTAGCTTCTGGTGCTTTTCCAACGATCCTTGGCGTTCTGTGGCTTGCAGCTGCAGCACTTTGGTTTCTGCCTCCATCATAATCTGCCCTTGTGTGTCCACATCCCTATGTCTCTTCTTATGAGGACACCAGTCATATTGGATTAAGGGTCCCTGTCTACTCCTGTATGACTTTGTCTAACTAGTTGTATCTGCAATGACCCCATTTCCAAATAAGGTCACATTCTGAGGTGCTGGGGTTTCAGTTCTCACCATATCTTTGGGAGAATACAATTCACCACCAAAAATAGCAATGTGATGTCTGTTTTTCTGCTGAGGCCCAGATTGATGTACCAGTTAATGAAGAAAAGTCTCCTTAATCAAGTGATATTGGAGTAGTGCGAAGCAAGGAAGCCAGTCATGCCAATGCTAGGGAAAGAGAGAGAACTGAATAAAGGGAACAGCAATAATAGCCGTAAATGTTCATATTTATATAGCACTTATTACGTGCAGATGCCAGGCCATGGTATAGGAGCATCCTTGGTGTATCGGAGGAATAGCAAGGAGGGGAGGTGAAGGAGCCAAGGAAGCAAGGAGGAGAGAGACAAGGGGAGGTGGGACAGTGGGCTGAGAGCCATTGTAAAGGCTTCGGTTTTAGTTCTGAGTAACATAGAAAGTCATTGGAGGGTTTAAGACAGAGAAGTGACATGATCTGACTTATGTTTTGAAAGAATTGCTCTGATTACTGTATGGAGAATTCCCTAGAGGAAGGCAAGGATGGATGGAAAGAAGCCAGTTAGGAGGTTATTGCAATAATTCAGAAGAGAGTGGTGACTCATATCAGGGTGGAAGCTGTACAAGCGGTAAGAAGCGGTTGGGTTCTGGATTTATTGAAACTACAGCTGACAGGCTTTGCTGATGGAATTGATGTGGTATGTGAGAGAAAGAGGCTCATGGAATGCACGTTCATGTTAGGAAACTTCCTAGGCATTTTCTGATCCTCCTCACTCACATCTGTCTACCCTGACTCACAGTGTTCTGCAGACATCAATCTATCCAGCAAATATTCTCTGAGCACCTATTCTGTACCAGGCATTGTGTCAGAAATACGATAATAGGCAAAGTTTGATTCTGGATCCTATTAAGGAAAATAAGTGTTTCACTTAACCGCTTCTTGTAGGCAGAACACACACTGCATAAATTTATTTAATATAGTTGTAGTCTTGGCGTCCATTTTTAGGCTTGACATAAGTTGTTTGAAACCCAGTTGTACCCTATCACCTTGGGCTTAATTAAAACATCCCCCCCGGCCGGGTGCTGTGGCTCATGGCTGTAATCCCAGCACTTTGGGAGGCTGAGGTGGGAGGATTGCTTGAAGCCCCGAGTTTGAGACTATCTTGGACAACAGAGCAAGACGCCATCTCTACAAAAAATTTAAAAATTAGCCAAGTGTGGTGGTGTGTGCCTGTAGTGGCAGCTACTCAGGAGGCTGAGACAGGAGGGTTACTTGAGCCCAGGAGGGCTATGATCATGTCAGTGATCTATGATCATGTCACTGCACTCCAGCATGGGTGACAGAGTGAGATCCTGTCTCTAAAACAAACAAACAAAAACAAAACCTCAAAAATTTCCCCTTGTGGTTGTTTGAGATATAGCCTTTCTGCTCCCCATCTTGCTAACCCCAATCCCAGCAGGTTCCACAGATGCTGACCATGATAAAACCTAATGGTCAACACCACGGGCAAGTAAGTAGTTTCCCCTTTTGCATTTGTTTTCTTTAAACTAGCCAATCCCCAGCCCTCTTCACCAAAGCCTAAGGGATAGTGATCATGGACCTTAATAAAGGCATAGCCTCCCAGGTCCTCTCTCTCCCTCCCTTCTTCTCCCCCTGTCTTCTTTCTCCCACTGCACTCCTTCTCCCTCCTTCTGTCTCCTTCTTTCTCGCTCTCCCATTTTCCCTCTCTGTCTCTTTCTCTCTCCACCCACTGGTTGAGCTCTCTGCCACCTCCAGACTTTCTCAGCACCCCTAATACCTCTGGGATCTATAAGTAATAAATTTATTCTGTTTCGTGCATTTTGGCTTCACTTCCTCGTTGTGTCTCCCCTGACCAACACACCAAAGCTAACTTCGCCCCAGTCAGGGCTCTTCTAGAGAGTGGCTATCTTGGCTTGTGGCCATTGTCAAGAGAGAGAGCTTCAGACCAAATTAGAAAGAAACCGTAACAATAGAAGTCACAGTACCTGCCTAGTCATTGAGCTATTGTTCCTTTTCCCATTGTTAATAAGTAGATTGGTGATTTATGACATACATTTTATGCTCATAGAACCTCTTTCCAAATTCTAGATGCTTGTAGAGTGGTGACATTTTGTAAAGTATAACAACAGTGCCTTATTGTAACAAAAATGTTCATTATTGAAAGCATTTCAGCATCCCACAATTAAACACTTAAAAACAGTTTCAGCCTGCAACAATTAAACTTTAAAAATACCTTTTGTCAGACTGTGCATCATGTCTCACGCCTGTAATCCCAACACTTTGGGAGGCTGAGGTGGGAGGATCACTTGAGTGATCCAGCAGGAGTTTGAGACCAGCATGAGCAACATAGGGAGACTCCGCCTCTACAAAAAAATAAAAAAAAATTAGCTGGGTGTGGTGGCACATGCCTGTGATCCCAGCTACTGAGGAGGCTGAGGTGGAAATATCACTTGAGCCTGGGAGGTTGAGGCTGCAGTGAGCTGTGATCGTGCCATTGCACTCCAGCTTGGGTGACAGCATGAGACCCTGTCTCAAAATAAGAATAATAATAATAATAATAATTTTTTTTTTTTTTTTTTTTTATATTGTTATAATTGTGCTATTTTATTTTATTTTATTTATTTATTTATTTATTTATTTTATTGATCATTCTTGGGTGTTTCTCGCAGAGGGGGATTTGGCAGGGTCACAGGACAATAGTGGAGGGAAGGTCAGCAGATAAACAAGTGAACAAAGGTCTCTGGTTTTCCTAGGTAAAGGACCCTGCGGCCTTCCGCAGTGTTTGTGTCCCTGGGTACTTGAGATTAGGGAGTGGTGATGACTCTTAACGAGCATGCTGCCTTCAAGCATCTGTTTAACAAAGCACATCTTGCACCACCCTTAATCCATTCAACCCTGAGTGGACACAGCACATGTTTCAGAGAGCACAGGGTTGGGGGTAAGGTCACAGATCAACAGGATCCCAAGGCAGAAGAATTTTTCTTAGTACAGAACAAAATGAAAAGTCTCCCATGTCTACCTCTTTCTACACAGACACGGCAACCATCCGATTTCTCAATCTTTTCCCCACCTTTCCCGCCTTTCTATTCCACAAAACCGCCATTGTCATCATGGCCCGTTCTCAATGAGCTGTTGAGTACACCTCCCAGACGGGGTGGTGGCCGGGCAGAGGGGCTCCTCACTTCCCAGTAGGGGCGGCCGGGCAGAGGCACCCCTCACCTCCCGGATGGGGCGGCTGGCCGGGCGGGGGGGCTGACCCCCCCCACCTCCCTCCTGGACGGGGCGGCTGGCCGGGCAGAGGGGCTCCTCACTTCCCAGTAGGGGCGGCCGGGCAGAGGCGCCCCTCACCTCCCGGACGTGGCGGCTGGCTGGGCGGGGGGCTGACCCCCCCACCTCCCTCCCGGACGGGGCGGCTGGCCGGGCAGAGGGGCTCCTCACTTCCCAGTAGGGGCGGCCGGGCAGAGGCGCCCCTCACCTCCCGGACGTGGCGGCTGGCCGGGTGGGGGGCTGACCCCCCCACCTCCCTCCTGGACGGGGTGGCTGGCTGGGCGGGGGGCTGATACCCCCCACCTCCCTCCCGGACGGGGCGGCTGGCCGGGCGGGGGGCTGACCCCCCCACCTCCCTCCCGGACGGGGCGGCTGGCCGGGCAGAGGGGCTCCTCTCTTCCCAGTAGGGGCGGCCGGGCAGAGGCGCCCCTCACCTCCCGGACGGGGCGGCTGGCCGGGCGGGGGGCTGACCCCCCCACCTCCTTCCCGGACAGGGCGGCTGGCCGGGCAGAGGGGCTCCTCACTTCCTAGTAGGGGCGGCCGGGCAGAGGCGCCCCTCACCTCCCGGACGGGGCGGCTGGCCGGGCGGGGGGCTGACCCCCCCACCTCCCTCCCGGACGGGGCGGCTGGCCGGGCGCGGGGCTAACCCCCCCACCTCCCTTCCGGAGGGGGCGGCTGGCCGGGCGGGGGGCTGACCCCCACCTCCCTCCCGGACGGGGTGGCTGCCGGGCGGAGAGGCTCCTCACTTCCCAGACGGGGTGGCTGCTGGGCGGAGGGGCTCCTCACTTCTCAGACGGTGTGGCTGCCGGGCGGAGGGGCTCCTCACTTCTCAAACGGGGCGGTTGCCAGGCAGAGGGTCTCCTCACTTCTCAGACGGGGTGGCCGGGCAGAGACGCTCCTCACATCCCAGACGGGGCGGCAGGGCAGAGGCGCTCCCCACATCTCAGACGATGGGCGGCCGGGCAGAGACGCTCCTCACTTTCCAGACTGGGCAGCCAGACAGAGAGGCTACTCACATCCCAGACGATGGGCGGCCAGGCAGAGACGCTCCTCACTTCCCAGACGGGGTGGCGGCCGGGCAGAGGCTGCAATCTCGGCACTTTCGGGGGCCAAGGCAGGCAGCTGGGAGGTGGAGGTTGTAGCGAGCCGAGATCACGCCACTGCACTCCAGCCTGGGCACCATTGAACACTGAGTGAACGCGACTCCGTCTGCCATCCTGGCACCTCGGGAGGCCGAGGCTGGCGGATCACTCGCGGTTAGGAGCTGGAGACCAGCCCGGCCAACCAATAATAATAATTATTATTATTATTATAATCTTTGTCTTCTTAGACTTCGGGCTTCTTCAACCTCCATCCTGCTGCTTACAGCTCAAGTTTCTCATCCTTGTAAATCTCTTATTTGTTGTTCAGTCACTGTGTAAGTTCAGGTACCTGGGAAGCAGACACCAAAACAGTTAGGAATAGTAGTCTTTTTTTTTTTGATGGTTATCAGTTGTGAAAAATAGAAGGGAGGAAGCAGGATTTGGTAAGGAAAGCCTTTAGACAATGGTGATAATATTTCCTTTGAAAGGAAAGTAGAAAGGAAGCACAATTGGGCAGAGAGAGAGAGTCAGACTGTGATGTAGATCAGACAGTTTCAACCAACCTAATGGGCAGGTCTGGAGTCAACACTGCCCATCCCAGCAGTCAGTGGACAAAACTGCCAGATTCTGGTGTTGTCACCATGCTCAGTAGCTAGGGGCTGCCCTGAAAGAGCTGCCAGTTAATTGTGCTTCTCACAGCTAAGTTTTGCTTTTTTGTTTCTTTGGAAGTGCAGTCTGAGCAGTTCACTTCCCTAGCTGTCATGGGGATGCCACTTGCACCATGCCAACCCCCCCTGCAGTTATCTGCCCTCTCCTTAACTTGTCCTAATCTTTGTTCACATCCCACCTTCTCAATGAACCCTACCCTGAGCCCTTATTTCATACAACAAAATGCCCAACACTTCCCAGTGCAGCTTTCTCCAATGCCCCTTAGCCTGCTTTTCTTTTCCCTCCCTTTAAACTTATCTTCTAACACACTACATCATTTATTTATTATATTTATTGTGTAGTGTCACCTCCCCTGTTAGAAGACAGAGATCTTTGTCACATTCTTTAAGCACCAGGAAGTGTACTTAGTGAAGTACAGAAGTGAAGCAGAGAATGAGCTCAATTAATAATGAAAGGAAAACTTAGCCATCAAAACAAAGCAAACTGAAACACGATGATATTGTTATATAAAAAAATTAAACAATCAAGACTTAATAACCTGCAATAATATCAAAAGTGGATTGAAATGGTGTTTTCATAGTTTTCTGATGAGTTTACACTTGTTACAAGCATTTGGAAAGCCACTTAGCCGTACAGGTGGTTTTTAACTTCCAGAATTTTAATTCTTGTACACACCAAAGTCTTGCCAATTATACATGAATAGCCCTAAAACTAAGCCATTCTCATCTTAGCTACCTAACTATGATTTGGAAAATTGGTTTTATGGTGCAGTCAGCGAGCTACTGGGGCAAAAGTCTGGCATTCACATTTTTTATGTTTAAACAACACCGTTTACGCAACTCAACATTCCTTTTTCTCATTTGAACTGATTTTCTCAGTAGTTTTGCAAGAGAGAGTAGAAAAGTTGTTCACAATAAATTGTGAAATAGATCTTTTGCTAAAGTTCAATATGTTTAAATAGTTTTTTTCTCCCTAACATTCTTTTTCTCATTTTTTTTTAAATTTTCAGCTAAAGCTGATTTTAATACATGATATATTTCAAGTATTCCTGGCATATCTTTGGAGCTAAAAATCATGGCTGGCCTTTTGTTGAAATTGTGTTTATTTGTTAATAAACTTATTATCATTTATTCTCCAATGTTTCTTGGGATGTGGTGACATGTCAGGCCCTATGTTGGGTGAGTCTTTGAATCTCTGACCTGAGGAGCCCTACCAAGAGAGATAAATAAAAACCTGTGTTATGTACCGGGACTAAGGAATGTTCCAGAAAGCTTGTGAGACCTGATAGGCTCTGGGTGGGGTGGGATGTGGACAAGGGACTCATCATCTTTCCAGCTCTCCCTATATCCTACTTTTACAGCTGGTTGTCTAGTAAATGTTTTGGATACGTGCTCTGAAAATTGTATTAGCATTAGAATACTATCTTCTCACAAAATAAATTCTGAGTAAATTAGTACAGTTATGTGGGCTTCTTGTTGGAAGAACTTTATGTAGAGTACTACATTAAAAACAAACAAACAAACAACTTTATGACTGGGAGCGGTGGCTCACGCCTGTAATCCCAGCACTTTGGGAGGCCAAGGCAGGCGGGTTTGTGACCATCTTGGCCAACATGGTGAAACCCTGTCTTTACTAAAAATACAAAAATTAGCTGGGCGTGATGGTGGGCGTCTGTAATCCCAGCTACTTGGGAAGCTGAGGCAGGAGAATTGCTTGAACCCGGGAGGCAGAGTTTGCAGTGAGCCGAGATCCTGCCACTGCACTCCAGTCTGGGTGACAGAGCGAGACTCTCTCAAAAAAACAGACAAAAAAACAAAGAACAAAAAAAAACTTTAAATGTACTTAAAAAAACTTTAAATGGGTTCCTTCTTATGGACCCATGCTTATTATATTTGTAATTTTGCAATACAAGCTTGCCTGTGTTTTGCAGAGCTGTTACACTATGTATTATAAACACAGGGGTTTATAATTAAACCACCTGTGTATTATTAAATAACATGGGTTAAGGTTGCTGACTCCCACACCGTTAAAAATGTGCATATAACTTTTGAATCCCCCAGAACTTAACTACTAACAGCCTACTGTTGATTGGAAGCCTTATGGATAACATAAAAGGTTAACACATATTTAATATGTCAAATGTATTATATACTGTATTCTCACAACAAAGAATAGAGGACAAGAAATGTTAAGTAAATCATAAGGAAGAGAAAATATATTTACTATTCATTAAGTGAAAGTGGATCATTATAAAGGTCTTCATCCTCATCATCTTCATGTTGAGTGGGCTAAGGAGGAGGGGAAAGAGGAGGAGTTGGTATTGCTGTCTCAGGATGGCAGAGGTGGAAGATAATTCATGTATAAGTGGACCCTCACCGTTCAAACCCGTGTTGTTCAAGCGTCAACCATAATTAAGGAGAGCCCCAGGACCTGAAGTGTTTAACGTTTAGATATCAGTTATCCCACAGATACATCTTTTCTTTCTTTCTTTCTTTCTTTTTTTTTCTTTTTTGAGACGGAATTTCACTCTTGTTGCCCAGGCTGGAGTGCAATGGCATGATCTCAGCACACCGCAACTTCTGCCTCCCAGGTTCAAGCAATTCTCCTGCCTCAGCCTCCTGAGTAGCTGGGATTACAGACATGTACCACCACACCCGGCTAATTTTGTATTTTTAGTAGAAACGGGGTTTCTCCATGTTGGTCAGGCTGGTCTTGAACTCCCAGCCTCAGGTGATCCGCCCGCCTTGGCCTCCCAAAGTGCTGGGATTACAGACGTGAGCCACCGCGCCCAGCCTGGATACATCTTTTCTTGCATATATGAATATTGTGTGAAATTGATTTTATAGTTTCTTGTTCCCATTGTATTTCCAGCCGGTCTCATTCTTTCTTTGTTTCCTCACTGAAGTTCCAATGTAGCCCACATGGTAACTTAGTTAAAAATAAAACCAAAAACATAGGGGGTCTGTGAATGGGACATGCTCCTAATCATAGCAAAAATTGTGTCTCTAAATCTTCTACATAACTTTCATGACAAAACCAGTGGCTCTAAGGAAGTCAGAAACAAAGAAGACTGCTGGTCAGAGTACAGATTTTTGGCAGAGGGAAATAATTGAGTTGTGTTGTTGCATCATATGACATTTTTAAATCTTCACATTCAACTACTTGTCAAAATTATTAAAAACCACTTAAAGATATATCTCCCTCTCATAGTGGTACAAGAATGGACAGATAGATCACAAAGTCAAAAACAAAAGCCTGAAAGAGACACTAGTATATATTCATTTAATATGTGATCTAATGGCACAATAAAACATTAGTTAACAATCTTTAATAGGGAAAAGTGTCAGGGCTGGAATAATTTGTTGGGTATTTAAAAGGTGTTGTGGGTTGAATCGTGTCCTCCCAAAAGATGTGCTCAAATTCTAATCCTTGGTACCGGTGAATATGACTTTATTTGGAAATAGAGTCTTAAAGATATTATCAAATTAAGATGCTGTCATACTGGATTAGGGTGGGCCTGAATCCAATAACTTGTATCCTTATAAGGACAGAAATTTGGAAACAGACACAAAGAAGCATGCCATATGATGATGAAGGCAGAGATTGGAGTGATATTGCTACAACCCAAGGGAACATTAAGAATTATTAGCAACTACCAGAAGTCAGAAAGAGGTAAGGAAGAATCGTTCCTCAGAGAGACCAATGGCCTTGCTGGCAATTGAATTCAGACTTCTAATCTCCAGAATTGGAACTCAATAAATTTCTTTTGTTTTAATCCACCCAGTTTGTGGTAATTTGGTGTGACATCCTTAGGAAACTAATAAAAACCTATTGATGTACACTTACATAAATTCCAGATGGATGACCAGCCTGGGCAATATTGTGAAACTCCGTCTCCACAAAAAATAAGCCAGGTGTGGTGGTGTGTGCCTATAGTCCCAGCCACCCGGAAGGCTAAGGTGGGAGGATCACCTGAGCCCAGGAGGTCAAGGCTGCAGTGAGTCAAGATTGTACCACTCCACTTTCTCCTGGGCAACAGAGCGAGACCCTCTATTTAAAAATAAATAAATAAATATTCCAGACGAATTAGTAAATGTAAAAAGTCAGACTATGAAAACAGAAGAAATAAGCAAATATTTGCAAAATTTCTGACTGGCAGCAAATATTCTAGTTTAAAAAATATTCACAATGGAATTGACTTCATAAAAGTTTTAATATCTCATTATGTAATAAAACATAAAGAGGCTGGTCACGGTGGCTTATGCCTGTAATCCCAGCACTTTGGGAGGCTGAGGTGGGTGGATCACGAGATCAGGAGTTCAAGACCAGCCTGGCCAACATGGTGAAACCCTGTATCTACTAAAGATACAAAAAATTAGCCAGGCGTGGTGGCGTATGCCTGTAATCCCAGCTACTTGGGAGGCTGAAGCAGGAGAATCACTTGAACCTGGGAGGCAGAGGTTGCAGTGAGCCAAGATCGCGCCATTGCACTCCAGCCTGGGTAACGAGTGAAACTCAGTCTCAAAAAAAAAAAAAAAAAAACCAAAACAAACCTATAAAATAAAAAAAACATGCAACTGAAAACTATTTTCAACATATGACAAATTTAACATCTTTAATATACAAAACTACAGCTTGAAAATGAAAGCGTTAAGAGCCAACTAAGCAAAGCAGAAAAACTACACAGAAAATTTATTAATAAAGTACAATTAACTAATAAAAATGGGAGCAAATGCTTATATAGTACTTATTATGTGCCAAGGCCTCTTCTAAATGTCTTACAGATTAACTTTTAACCCTCATGTCAATTATGAAATAACCCTTATCAAGTTAGTTATTCTTTTTGTGCCTCAGTTTTCTTCCTCTCTGCATATGTCTAAAAATTTCTCCATGACAGGCACAAAAAATTGAGCTATCTAGGTCATAGAGAATGTATATTTTAAACTTAATATATTCTACTAAAATTTCATCCAAATTGCTGCATTAATGTACACTTCTAGCAACACTATTTGGAAGTAGCAGTTTCCCCTACCCCAGCCAATACTTAATAGGTTCTATAATTTTCTTTTTTGCCTCTCTGATGGGCAGATAACTCTTGCCTCTCAATAATTCAAATTCTATGCATCCTTGAAAGTACTATGTGAAGCATATGACATACATAGTGATCTGAATCAAGCTATCAGTGAATTTCACAGCAGAAATTTTACAGACCAAGAAAGAGTAGGATGTTATATTCAAAGTGCTGAGAGAAAATGCTGCCAACCGAGAATGCTTTATTCTAAGAAACTTTCTTTCAAAAATGAGAGTGAACTACTTTCCAAGACAAACAAGCTGAAGAATTTATCACCGCTAGATCTGAAACATTAAAGAGTTCTTCAAGCTGAAATGAAAGAACTCTAATTAGTAACATAAAATCATATGAAAATGTAAAATTCACTGGTAAAGGCAAATAATAGTCAAATTCAAAATACTCAACTATTGTAATGATGGTATGTAAATCACTTTCAACTCTAGGATAAAGGTTGAAACACAAAAGTATTAAAAATGACTATAACTCCACCAACTTGTTAACAGATACACAATATAAACAGACATTAAGTGAAATATCAAAATATAAAATGGGAGGATAAGTACAGAACTTTTGTTCGTGATCAAAGTTAAGTTGTTATCATCCTAAAATAGACTAGTATAACTATACAATGTTATACTAGCTTCATGGTAACTACAAACCAAAAACCTATGGTAGATATACGCAAAAGATAAAGAGAAAGGAATCAAAGCATACCATTATTTTAAAAATTATTAAATTATTTTTATTTGAGACAAAGTCTCACCCTGTAGCCCAGGCTGGAGTGCAGTGGCGCGATCTCAGCTCACTTCAACCTCTGCCTCCCGGGCTCAAGCAATTCTCCTGCCTCAGGCTCCCAAATAGCTGGGACTACAGGCATGTGCCACCATGCTCGGCTAATTTTTTTGTATTTTTATTAGAAATGGGGTTTCACCATGTTAGCTAGGAGGGTCTCGATCTCCTGACCTCGTGATCCACCACCCTCAGCCTCCCAAAGTGCTGGGATTACAGGTGTGAGCCACCATGCCTGCCAAAAAGTTATTAAATTATTTTTAAAAAGCCAGCAAGAGAGGAAGAAAGGGGCAATGATTCTGCCGAACAACTAGAACACAATGAACAAAATGGCAATGCTAAATCTACATTGTCATTAAAGATTTCCTTCAATTGCTCAGGAAGTCATTTTTCCTTCCTCTCATTTCCTTTGGCATTTTATCCACTCAATCAAAAATATTTATTGAGCATTTACCATGTGTTCTATTCACTTAAGGCAATTAACAAACTAGGCAAAAGTTTCTACCTTTTTGGAGCTTACATTCTAAGGAGGAAAGCAAACACTAAAAATAAAGTTACATTTATAGAATATTAGATAGTAATAAACCATAAGGAAAAAATAAAGCTGACATAGAAGATAAGAAGTATCAGGGTGGGAATAGAATTGAAATTTTAGACAGGCTGTCTGAAGAAAACTCTGGAAAAGATTATTTGTCCTCATTTTATAGTATTTATCACTATTTTCTGTGTTCATTAAAAATTATTTTTTATCGTAGTAAAATATAAATTACATTAAATTTACCATTTCAATCAATTAAAAATGTACAGTTCAGTGGACTTAAGTACATTGACTCTTATGTGTGAATACATACACTTATGTATTTTTATTGTAGCAAAATATAAATTACATTAAATTTACCATTTCAATCATTAAAAAATGTGCAGTTCAGTGGAATTAAGTACATTCCCACTTACATGCAACCAACACCCATATGAATCTCCAGAATTTTTTCTGAAGAAGGAACAAACTTTTTCGGAAGGAAAAGTTCTGGAGATTCACATGGCGTTGGTTGCACGTAAGTGTGAATGTACTTACCCAGTAAATGATAGCTCCCCATTTCTCCCTCTCCCCAGCCCTGGTAAACACTGTACTACTTTCTTTGAATTTGACTACTTTAGGTACCTCATAGAAATGGAGTCATATAATATTTGTCTTTTTGTGTCTGGCTTATTTCATTTAGCATGTCTTCAAGTTTCATCCATGTTGTAGCATGTATCAGAATTTCATTCCTTTTAAGATTGAGTAATATTCCACTGTGAGAATATGCCAGATTTTATTTATCTATTTATCTGTTCATGAACATTTGAGTTATTTCCACCTTTTGGCTGTGAGTAATGCTGTTGTGGCCAGGAGCAGTGAGGGCATGCCTGTAGTCCTAGCTACCTGTGTGGCTGAGGCAGGAAGATTGCTCGAGCCTGGGAGTTTGAATCCAGCCTGGGCAACATAGTGAGACCCTGTATTTAGAAGAAAAAAACAAAAAACAAACAAAAAACCCCCGAAATCACCAGATTCTTTAGTCTCATAAGTAGCAATGATGATGATAATGATGATGATTATAACAATGCTGTAAACATGGATCTACAAATATCTATTGAAATCTTTACTTTTAATCTTTTTGTGTATATACCCAGAAGTAGAATTGCTAGATCAAATAATAATTCTATGTTTAATTTTTTGAGCAACTGCCATACTGTTTTCCATAGTGGCTATACCATTTTACATTCTCACCGTCAACGCATAAAGGTCCTGATTTCTCCACATTCTCACTAACACTTGTTTTCTATTTTATCCCAGCACTTTGGGAGGCCAAGGTGGCGGATCACCTGATGTCAGGAGTTCAAGACCAGCTTGGCCAGCATGGTGAAACTCCGTCTCTACTAAAAATACAAAAATTAGTTGGGCGTGGTGGCAGGCACCTGTAATCCCAGCTACTTGGGAAGCTGATGTAGGAGAATCGCTTGAATCTGGGAGGCGGAGGTTGCAGTGAGCTGAGATTGCGCCATTGCACTCCAGCTTGGGCAACAGAGGGAGACTTTGTCTCAAAATAATAATAATAATAATAGTCATCCTGATGGTGTAAGGTGGTATCTTATTGTAGCTTTGGGTTGCATTTTCCCAATGATGAGTGATGTTGAGCATCTTTTCATGTGCTTATTGGTTATTTGTACATTTTCTTTGGAGAAATATCTATTCAAGTCCTTAGCTCATTTTTAAATTGTTTATTTTTTTGTTGTTGAGTTTTACAACTTCCTATATTTTGAATATTACTCCCTTATCAGATATGTGATTTTTCAAATACTTTAGTCCATTCTTTGAGTTGCTTTTTTACTCTGGTGACAGTGTCCTTTGATGTCCAAATTTCAAAAATTTTGAAGTCCAATTTATTTTTTTTCTTTGTTGTCTGTGGTTTTTGTTCATATCTGAGAAATCATTGTCAAAGCCAATGTCATGAATCTTTATGCTATGTTTTTGTCTAAAAGTTTTTTAGTTTTAGATCTTTAGGTCTTTGATCCATATTGAATTAATTTTTGTATGTGGTGTTAGATAAGGGCCCAAGAATGTCTTTTGTGTGTGCACAACATGTTCATTTTTATTACATTTAATAACTATTCCTATTTTAAGGCTCCCTGAGGACAACACTGCCTTAAAATCCTTTATACCCCTATAGTTCCATAAATTTAATAAGAGCTTAATGTACTTTTAAAAAAAAGAATGCTTTATGATTACTGATCATTGAATCAAATTGAAAATATTAGTCACTCTGTACCTTGATTATAGGACCCAGCATATAAGGGATTTTTTTAAATGTTTATTGAATTAAAGAATTGAATATATTCTTATTCTGAGAGATTTTATTTTCAAAGAAAACCATATTTTTTCAATTAAGTGATGTTGACAGGATTAGAAAATGAGATTATTGTATATGTTGTATTACACAATGCACATAGTAAAAAGAGAATAACACAAATACCAAAAAATAATTTCTACAGCCATTTTCAAAACAAATACTGGATTCCCACTTTAAGATGGTGAATTAAAACTGAGTTCATTTTTTTCTCCTCTAAATCTTTTTGAAGTAATTTCAAAAAACGTCCCAAAACACAACAGCTTTGGAAACCAAAACAAAGTGATGTGATAGTTATACAAAAATGATCCCAGTGAACCACGCTTGTTGGTACTTATTCCTCTGTGTAGTCTCCTCCCATATTGCAGGTGGACTTTAATCAATAAAATGCAGTGACAGTGATGCTGTAGCATTTTGGATTTAAGCCTTTAAAAGTCCTGGCACCTTCCTTTTTTGCACTCATGAAAGCGGACCATAATGTATGCATCCAGCTACCACGCTGTAGAAAGTGGTCATGTGTAGAAACCCTGGAGGATGAGATACCCCTAAGGATGAGGAGACAGGCCATGTGGAGAAGCATCAAGTTGCTAGACATGTGAGAGAAGTCATCTTGGATGTCTCCATGCAGCACAGCCTCCAGAGGACTGCCGTCCTAGCTGCTATCTATGACTGCATGAGAGACCAGAAGTGAGACCAGAAGAACAGCTCAGCTAAACTCAGTCAACACAGAGGCTCATAAGATAATAATAAATTGTTGTTTTAAACCACTACGTTTTTGGTAGATTGTACTCAGCTATAGTTCTGAAAGCTATAAAGCATCTGGAAATAGATTGACAGAAAAAAAAGAAAACACGTAAATTTTTCTGTATGAGTTCAAAGAAGAAAATTCCAAGCTCAGAGCCCAGGCACAGCTGTTAGGAGCCAGCCCTGAGGCAATTCACAGAACTAGGGGCTGGGAAGTGAACTGAAGGACTTCAGAAATTGCTAGCCTTCACTGTGCTAGATGTACTTGCTAACTGAAATTTGCCACAGTCAGTTCCTAAGCTGGGAGCTAAGGAGTTCAGTGGGATCAGTGCCCCTTCAGGTTACCATTATACATTGAATGTGTCACCTCCGCAGTTAAATCCCACAGCATCTCTTAGGATCCCAAAGTCAGAGGCTGGAATATTTGACAGTGTCAGGAGTGTGGGTGTGGGCAGAAACATCAAAACAAAGAATTAGGAGAGCTTCATTTATTCTGCTCGAGGGAGTTTCTAAACTGCCTCTAGGGAGGTGAGTAACTGAACCGATTCAAAGAGCAAAGGTTGAGCCTTACTGAGCTTGTTGTTCTCACCAAATAAAGGGGGAAGTGGAAACAAACAAAACCACAAAGGGAGAGATCTTTTAGCCAGTGCAATAATAAGAGCTATCACTTATATGCCATTTACCATGTGTTAAAGGCCACTGTTCCAGTTCACTCACAACCTTATAGAAAACCGTGGTAAAGAGGTTTGTGGTGTATGAATGGCAGCAGCCTGATCTTAGAGTTATAAACACAAGGCGATAAAAGTGACATTTCAAATCAGTGGGAAAAGAATGGATGCTCCAATAATAGCAAGTTCCTAATGCAGAAATTCGGCCAGTTATAGGTGGGTCAAATATTCCAGCTATGAAAAATTAAAATAAAGACAAAGATAAACCATGTGCTATGTTCAATTAATAGAGTGTGATTACAAATCAGTAAAAAAAATTGAGTGCCCTAAACTTGCCAAATTATATGGACAGACAACAAACAAATGAAAAATACAAGTGGTCAATAAATACACATTTGGAAATGCACTCCGTCTGGGTACGGTGGCTCACGCCTATAATCCCAGCACTTTGGGAGGCTGAGGCGGGTGGATCAATTGAGGTCAGGAGTTCAAGACCAGGCTGGCCAACATGGTGAAACCCTATCTCTACTAAAAACACAAAAATTAGTCAGGAGTGGTGGCACACACGTGTAGTCCCACCTACTCAGGAGGCTGAGGCAGGAGAATCGCTTGAATCCAGGAGGTGGAGGTTGCAGTGAGCCAAGATCGTGCCAATGCACTGCAGCCTGGGCAACAGAGTGAGATTCCGCTTCAAAAAAAAAAGAAAAGAAAAGAAAAGAAAAAGCACTCCAAGGCTGAGACTGGAAGATCGCTTAAGTCGGTGAGGTCGAGGCTGCAGTGAGCTATGATCGTCCGATTTCACTCCAGCCTAGGTGACAGAGCGAGATCCTATCTCAAATAGATAAATAGACAAAAAATAAAAAATAAAAAAGCATTCCACTTCACCAGTATTCAAACTCAACAGGAGTGATAACAACATATTAGTTATCACATATGGAACTTACAAGGAAATAATTTGAGGCAATATGCCTTATTAAATATTTAACCTTCATATGAAGTTGGAAAATGCCAAACAAGGTGATGCTGGGACAAAATGGAACAAATTGAATATTGAAAAAGATTATGTGATGAAAGTGACAATCAAATAAAGAAAAGGAAGATTACTTGGTTACATTATATTGGGACCATTAATTAAATGAAAAAAAAATCAGTTGGATTTATATCCTATACCATAGACTAAAATCATTCCAAACAGATGAGGGACTTACGTGTGAAAAATGAAACCTTTAAACAACTAGCAAGAAGTAGAGGTGAGTATTTACCTTATCTCAAGATAGGCAATGGCTTTCTGAGCACAAAATAAGGAATAAATTATAAAGTTAAAAGACTTAAGCTGGGTGCAGTGGCTCACACCTATAATCTCAGCACTTTGGGAGGCCAGGAAGGAGGATCACCTGAGGTCAGGAGTTCCAGACCAGCCTGGCCAACATGGTGATGAAACCCTGTCTCTACTAAAATATAAAAAATTAGCCAGTGAATCGCTTGAACTCGGGAGGCGGAGGTTGCAGTGAGCTGAGATTGAGCCATTGCACTCCAGCCTGGGAGACAAGAGGGAGACTCTGTCTCAAAAAAAAAAAAAAAAAGGCTTAATAACATCAATATCTATAATATATCTATTAAAAAACAAAGCAAAAACTACTTTAATTGCAATAATCTTTCATATGTAACATAGTAAGATAATACTCTTTATTGTTATCTTGCTAATCAGTTCAAATATCAAAGGGATACAGTTTTTGACTTATTTAATTGGCCAGGATTTGTATTAATGTGGCAATACTCAATGTAAGTAAAGATACAAAGAGATGGAGATTTTCTTGTGCTGCTTATAGACATATAAATAGGCAGTATTCCTGGAAAGTTATTTGGCAATATGTGTAAAAGGTCTTTAGAACTGTCATCGTTTTTGACATAATAAATCTACTTCTAGGAATTAATCCTAAGGAGATATTCAGAAATATGAACTCTTTTTATAAATAAGATTTATCCCTCTCCCTCTCCCTCTCCCTCTCCCTCTCCCTCTCCGTCTCCCTCTCACTCTCCGTCTCCCTCTCGCTCTCCCTCTCCCCACGGTCTCCCTCTCATGCGGAGCCGAAGCTGGACTGTACTGCTGCCATCTCGGCTCACTGCATCCTCCCTGCCTGATTCTCCTGCCTCAGTCTGCCGAGTGCCTGCGATTGCAGGCACGCGCCGCCACGCCTGACTGGTTTTGGTGGAGACAGGGTTTCGCTGTGTTGGCCGGGCCGGTCTCCAGCCCCTAACCGCGAGTGATCCGCCAACCTCGGCCTCCCGAGGTGCCGGGATTGCAGACGGAGTCTCGTTCACTCAGTGCTCAATGGTGCCCAGGCTGGAGTGCAGTGGCGTGATCTCGGCTCACTACAACCTACACCTCCCAGCTGCCTGCCTTGGCCTCCCAAAGTGCCGAGATTGCAGCCTCTGCCCGGCCGCCACCCCGTCTGGGAAGTGAGGAGTGTCTCTGCCTGGCCGCCCATCGTCTGGGATGTGAGGAGCCCCTCTGCCTGGCTGCCCAGTCTGGAAAGTGAGGAGCGTCTCCGCCCGGCCGCCATCCCATCTAGGAAGTGAGGAGCACCTCTTCCCAGCCGCCATCACATCTAGGAAGTGAGGAGCGTCTCTGCCCGGCCGCCCATCGTCTGAGATGTGGGGAGCGCCTCTGCCCCGCCGCCCCATCTGGGATGTGAGGAGCGCCTCTGCCCGGCCGAGACCCCGTCTGGGAGGTGAGGAGCGTCTCTGCCCGGCCGCCCCGTCTGAGAAGTGAGGAGACCCTCTGCCTGGCAACCACCCCGTCTGAGAAGTGAGGAGCCCCTCCGCCCGGCAGCTGCCCCGTCTGAGAAGTGAGGAGCCTCTCCGCCCGGCAGCCACCCCATCTGGGAAGTGAGGAGCATCTCCGCCCAGCAGCCACCCCATCCGGGAGGGAGGTGGGGGGGGGTCAGCCCCCCACCCGGCCAGCCGCCCCATCCGGGAGGGAGGTGGGGGGTCAGCCCCCCCGCCCGGCCAGCCGTGCCATCCGGGAGGGAGGTGGGGGGGTCAGCCCCCCGCCCGGCCAGCCGCCCCGTCCGGGAGGTGAGGGGCGCCTCTGCCCGGCCACCCCTACTGGGAAGTGAGGAGCCCCTCAGCCCGGCCAGCCACCCCGTCCGGGAGGGAGATGGGGGGGTCAGCCCCCCCACCCGGCCAGCCGCCCCGTCCGGGAGGGAGGTGGGGGGGTCAGCCCCCCGCCTGGCCAGCCGCCCCGTCCGGGAGGGAGGTGGGGGGGTCAGCCCCCCGCCCGGCCAGCCGCCCCGTCTGGGAGGTGAGGGGCGCCTCTGCCCGGCCGCCCCTACCGGGAAGTGAGGAGCCCCTCTGCCCGGCCAGCCGCCCCGTCCGGGAGGGAGGTGGGGGGGTCGGCCCCCCGCCCGACCAGCCGCCCCATCCGGGAGGGAGGTGGGGGGGTCAGCCCCCCGCCCGGCCAGCCGCCCTGTCCGGGAGGGAGGTGGGGGTGTCAGCCCCACGCCCGGCCAGCCGCCTCGTCCGGGAGGGAGGTGGGGGGGTCAGCCCCCCGCCCGGCCAGCCGCCCCGTCCGGGAGGGAGGTGGGGGGGGTCAGCCCCCCTGCCCGGCCAGTGGCCCCGTCCGGGAGGTGAGGGGCGCCTCTGCCCGGCCGCCCCTACTGGGAAGTGAGGAGCCCCTCTGCCCGGCCAGCCGCCCCGTCCGGGAGGGAGGTGGGGGGGGTCAGCCCCCCTGCCCGGCCAGCCGCCCCGTCCGGGAGGTGAGGGGCGCCTCTGCCCGGCCGCCCCTACTGGGAAGTGAGGAGCCCCTCTGCCCGGCCAGCCGCCCCGTCCGGGAGGGAGGTGGGGGTGTCAGCCCCCCGCCCGGCCAGCCGCCCCGTCCAGGAGGGAGGTGGGGGGGGTCAGCCCCCCCCGCCCGGCCAGCCGCCCCGTCCGGGAGGTGAGGGGCGCCTCTGCCCAGCCACCACCCCGTCTGGGAGGTGTGCCCAACAGCTCATTGAGAACGGGCCAGGATGACAATGGCGGCCTTGTGGAATAGAAAGGCGGGAAAGGCGGGGAAAAGATTGAGAAATCGGATGGTTGCCGTGTCTGTGTAGAAAGAAGTAGACATGGGAGACTTTTCATTTTGTTCTGCACTAAGAAAAATTCCTCTGTCTTGGGATCCTGTTGATCTGTGACCTTACCCCCAACCCTGTGCTCTCTGAAACATGTGCTGTGTCCACTCAGGGTTAAATGGATTAAGGGCGGTGCAAGATGTGCTTTGTTAAACAGATGCTTGAAGGCAGCATGCTCGTTAAGAGTCATCACCAATCCCTAATCTCAAGTAATCAGGGACACAAACACTGCGGAAGGCCGCAGGGTCCTCTGCCTAGGAAAACCAGAGACCTTTGTTCACTTGTTTATCTGCTGACCTTCCCTCCACTATTGTCCCATGACCCTGCCAAATCCCCCTCTGTGAGAAACACCCAAGAATTATCAATAAAAAAAAAATTAAAAATAAATAAAAAAAAAAAAAAAAAAAAAAAAGCTAAAAAAAAAAAAAAAAAAAAAGATTTATATATCATCCTCAAACATAATAGTAAAAATTAAAATATGGAAATAGTCCAACTGTTCAATACTAGAACACAGCAAATTATGTGCTCACAGCAAATTACGTTATATTTATTTGATAGAGTTGCTTACTCATCATACATCATGATTTTGAAGCATATTTACTGACACATAAAATGCCATTCATTCATTTGTTCATTTAGCAAACCTGTTTTGGTGACTAACGTATGCTAGACACTGTGGAAGGTGCTGGTTTTGTGTGGTGTTTTTGTTTGTTTGTTTGTTTGTTTTTGAGATGGAGTCTTGCTCTGTTGCCCAGGCTGGAGTGCAATGGTGTGATCTCGTCTCACTGCAACCTCCGCCTCCCTGGTTCAAGCTATTCTCATGTCTCAGCCTCCCGAGTACCTGGGATTATAGGCGCCCGCCACCATGCCGGGCTAATTTTTGTATTTTTAGTAGACCATGTTGGTCAGGTTGGTCTTGAACTCCTGACCTCAGGTGATCCACCCACCTCGGCCTCCCAATATGCTGGGATTATAGGCGCAAGCCACTGCGCCTGGCCTTGAAGGTGCTGGTTTTCACAGTGAAAGGCATGTTCTCTGGATCACACCTGCAGGAAAGGACAAAAAATAAATAAGCAAACAAATATATCACTTTTGTGATAAGTGCCCTAAGAAGAAAAATAAAATTAGATCAGAGGAGAGCAAATCATGTTAAGATGTGATACAATTATATCATGTTAGGAAATTATACTTATTAAGCATAATCCCAGGTTTGTAAAGTAATAAACCACCGCTGCCACCACCACTATAATAAATACATGTACATAAAGACATAGAAAAATGACTTGAAGGAAAAAAAGTTAAAATGTTAACCATGGTTAGCTCAGGGTAGTAGAACAGGTGATTTTTAAAAAATACATTTCCATTTTCCCCAAATTTCAATAATAAACATTTATTTTGAATCATAAAAATGAACCACAATATACATTATTAAAAGATTCATTTGATTTCTTTAAAATGAAAACAGATTTATATATACATGTTTATTGTTAAGTCAAACATTATATTTATATATACATGTTTATTGTTAAGTCAAATGTTATATTTATATATACCTGTTTATTGTTAAGTCCAATTACTTTAAAAAGAATATAATAGTCATTATGATGTTAGGCACAGAGTTTTTAAAAAGAGATCCTATTTTGGAAATATTCTTTATCTCTGTAAATTTAGCACAAATCATATTTTTGTCTCTTGCAAGCCCAGAGGCATGATTTTTCAGTATCACATAGTAAGCACATCCGTCTATCGGGGCAAACCAATATTTAGCAAGCTCCTCAGACTGGGATACAAAGCCAATGCCTATTTATTATTTAGAATGAGAAAGAATGCTAGCACATGGGCTGGAATACAGGGTGATATAAGCAACATATTTTCTCCATGAAGCCATGGAAAAAGGCTTTATTATCAGAAGGTTGTCTGGAGAGCCTAAAATTAGAGCAAGTAGGTGGTAGTTTTATGATTTGATTGTCTAATGAAATGCTTCTCCAAGTGTAGGTCCATGGACCACCTACATCAGTCTCATCAAGGATGATCATTAAAATGCAAATCCTCGACACTCAGCCAAAGCTACTGTATAGGAATCTCCAGATATGGGCCCAGAGTCTGCATTTTTAACAAGTATCCAAGGCGATATTTATGTGCATGGAAGTTTGGAAATCACTGGTACCTAGTGCCAGTGGAACCAGGATAGAAAGTAGCAATGCACCACTTTCTCCATACGGAAGACCTTGCCAATAGAAAATTAACAACTTGAGGGTGTTGGTAAGACTTACACTTTCCCAAATCTACTTAGGGAACACTGCTGATTTCAAACTCGGAGATTCTGCTTTTTATCTGATTCCTTAACTGTTTATGTTAACTTCATTTATTTACTGTCAAGTCACAGGAGAAAAGTTATTCTTTTTCTTTTCATATAACTGCCCAGATTTATATACTTGTATGTATTTTTACAGAGGTGTAATGACATACAGTGACAGTTTAACATACAATAATGAGATTTGACCAATGCATATACCCATATAACCCATACCCCAATAGAAAAATAGAGTGTGCCATTATCCTAGGAAGTTCACTAGTGTTCCTTTTCATTCTATCACTCCCTCCCAACTATCCTGGCAATCACTATTATGGTTTCTATCCTCACAGATTAGTTTTGCCTGTTCTTGAACTTTATGAAATGGTGTACTAATTAGAGGAAAATTCCATAACCATTATAAAAGCACTTTTAGTAGTTCTTTAATGAAGAGCCACTCTAAAAGTTCTTAAGAAACTCCAACACATTGCAATTTGCTTTCTTAAAGATAGAATACCTTAATTAAGTAACATTTCTTTACCTAGAGATACACACAGCATCCTGCTGAGGACCTTGGAAACTGTCCTTCTGCAGCTAGTTAGCTAGTTTTAAGCTTTCAGCTGGACATATCCAGTTGAAAAATTCTGATAATAAAAGAGAATATGCAGATGATCGAAAAATGGAATCAGTTCTTCTCACCCAAATGAATTACACTCCCAAGCTCACTCCCAAGCTTCTGCAAGATGAATTTGAAGATCAACTTGCTGAAATGCGATTCATAATACTTAGGAATAAGAACGTTTGAAAATCAGCAAATGTATACTCTTTGATTCCCAGACTGTGGACCAGAAACTTTGATCCTAGATTAGATTTCAAAAAGGATCAGTAACATTTCCCCAAACTTGAATTTCAACATACACGTATTCACTTTTGTACAACCTTTTCAGTCCTACAATCACGGTCCTCGACAGGGCCTAAAAGAATGTGACATCATTTGAGAAATAGTGCATACTTTCTACCATCCATTATTGTAATCCCATTGGCCCCATAACACTCTCTCTGGTCCTTCCCATTTTTGCATGCTTTGATCCTTCCAGGATATTAACATCCCTGCTACTATTTCTGTTGTTCTTTGCCACTCTCATGCAGTGATCACCTACCTCCATCTTTTTGAACATCCATTCTACGTCCTTGCTTAAAGGGCTCTGCCATCACTAGTTTCTTTGAGAGTCTCCCCTTCTCTCTTGTCTTCTCATTGGAATTATCCAAAGCCATGCTTTTGAGTGCTTGTTGATACTGTTTCCTTTTCTAGAAACTTGTGGAATTATGCCATATTTTCTTTTTCTTTTTCTTTTTTTTAGTAGAGACAGGGTTTCACCAGGTTAGTCAGGATGGTCTCGATCTCCTGACTTTGTGATCCGCCCGCCTCAGCCTCCCAAAGTACTAGGATTACAGGCGTGAGCCACCACGCCTGGCCGCCATATTTTCTTAAAATATTTTGGAGTCTAACTTCCTGAAGTCCTGTATCCACCTTTGTTCTAGCTCCATCAGGCTCTCCCCTGAAGATGACAGGCACATTCTCTAGTTCTCATCCTTTCCACTTTGCCAGGTGGCTTCTTCCTAAGGATTGGAATCAGTCAGAGCACAGTTGTTTTTATTCCTTCCTCTACCTTCTAGGACATAAAATTGTTAGAGAGGCAAGTGAAAACCTCTGCTTTTATCTGAATGAAGTATCCTGAATCTTATCCTCATTAATTGTGGGTACTGTGCCAATTTTGTGGCTTTCCTCCATGTGGCTCAGCTGTGCTTCCACAAAAACGTCACTTGTGTTCCTCTGTCCTTTCATCTTCATCCAAGTGTTCAGAGATTCCTCTCAATCTATTGTTATCACAGCCTACAGTGCAGCTTCTCCTCCTCTCAACAGGTCTTTTGTACACAGCACACCCTTCTATCACTATGTTCCCATGGATCTGTTCCAGCCCGCCAACTCTCAGTGGTATCTGTGAGGTCTTGTTTGTCACCCTGTGCTGTAATCTCAAGGTTACCACGTTGCTCATGTTCTGTGCATGATATCTGGACATCTGCTGCCTATGTTTTGTTTCTGATGTCCTTCCCAGCTGTTTTCTCATTGAACTATGCGGCACCTCCCTCACTGTTGAAATTCTTCCCAGGCCCTCCTTAATATCATCCATGGAAACCCGTTTCAGTTTTATCTAGGTGTTTTTTTCTCCTTTCCCATCTGTTTTCCATTTACAGCCCTTCTGGCCAGATGAGTTAGTCTCTGACTAAACACATTCTTTTCAGTCTTTGAAAAATTCTCTCCACTCTTAGCCAAATAGCCATCATTCCTACATTTGAAGCTATGGCCTTAAAATAAACTCCAGCACCAACTGTGTACCTAGTCATTGATTTTTCATATTATATTTTTATTCTCAATGTGCTCCTAAGTCTTTTATGTCCTGAGCTTCACAGCACCTTGTGATGCTTCCATATTCTATTTTAATGGGTTTTCATTTCCCTATAACTTGGCAGTAGATGACTTTGACCAGCCTCAGTAGGTTCTGCCATATGCTAGATTCATACTCCATGAACATAATACCCACTTCTTACATGGTTTGGTTATGTCCACTTACAGGCACTATCGTATCCCTTACCAGGGAGTCCCCAAGTCCCAATATGTGGCTTTTGCTCCATAGCTTTAGCATTTCCTATGTCCTCCTCCTCTGTGGGAAAGGGATTTTAAAGAGGTGGTGGAGTACGGTAGAAATAAAGCTTGCTCTGATACTTACTACTGGGTAGCTAAAAAGAACAAATAACTGAGAGGACTCTGAGCCTCTGCTTCCTCATCCTTCAGGTAGGGATCTAATACTGAATTTGCAGGGTTATTATGATGATTTCATAAGATATTATATGGGAAACCACTTTTTAAAAAATATTTTAACTTTTATTTTAGGTTTAGGGGTACATGTGCAGGTTTGTTATATAGGTAAACTCCTGAGTTGGGGGTTTGGTGTACAGATTACTTTGTCAATCAGGTACTAAGCCCAGTACCCAACATTTTTTTTTTCCCTGAACCTCTCCCTTCTCCCCTCCTCTACCCTCAAGTAAACCCCAGTACTTGCTGTTCCCCTCTACATGTCCATGTGTTCCTATTGTTTAGCTCCCACTCATAAGTGAGAACATGTGGTGTTTGGTTTTCTGTTCCTTCATTATTTTGCTAAGGCTAGTGGCCTCCAGTTTCATCTATGTTCCTGCAAAGAACATGATCTCGTTCTTTTTTATGGCTGCATAGCATTCCATGGTGTGTATACACCACATTTTCTTTATCCAGAGTACTGCTGATGGGCATTTAGGTTGATTCTTTGCTCTTGTGAATAGTGCTGCAATGAACATACACATGCATGTGTCTTTATGGTAAAACGATTTACAGTCCTTTGGGTATATACCCAGGAGTGGGATTGCTGGGTCGAATGGTAGTTCTGTTTTTAGTTCTTTGAGGAATCACTACACTGCTTTCCACAATTGTTGATAATTTACATTTTAAAATTTATTTAATTACACTTAATTAATTTACACTTAAATAAGTGTACATTTGTACACTGAGAGTCATACAAACATAGGTTTTAAGAATAATCATTGGGGGCCAGGCACGGTGGCTCACGCCTGTAATCCCAGCACTTTGGGAGGCCAAGGCGGGCGGATCATGAGGTCAGGAGATGGAGACCATCCTTGCCAACATGCTGAAACCCCATCTCTACTAAAATACTAAAAATTAGCCAGACGTGGTGGTGGGCGCCTGTAGTCCCAGCTACTCGGGAGGCTGAGGCAGGAAAATCGCTTGAACCCGGCAAGGGGAGGTTGTAGTGAGCCAAGATTGTGCCACTGCACTCCAGCCTGGTGACAGAGCAAGACTCTGCCTAAAAAAAAAAAAAAAAAAACCAAAAACAAAAACAATATTCATTAGATATTTAGGTTTTTACAAACCTGCAGAGCACATGCAGCATGTATGAGAAGTTGCCCAGCATTTTCCCCAACCCTACATTCATGCCTTAATCATGTCCTTTCCCCAGAGGATGATAGCAGGCATTGTGAAAGTCTGAACACAGCCTAAACATTCATGCCATGCCCCACTTTTTAAATTTTATTTTAACACTGTGTACACAAATGTTTCTGCTCATCCCAGCAGTGTGCAAGAATCTTTCTGTTTTCTAGAACCCTGGGCAGTTCTGACCTCTAGCTCAGGCAAAATCCGCCAAAAGCTAGCTTCATCTGTGAACTTGGCACAGCACAACCTTCTCTGCCCTAACTATGATGGGTCTGGATGATTTCTCTAATGAGTTTGTAGAACAATCATAATAACGACTAATGACTATAATAGCAACTACATTTCTCATGTATTGAATACCTACTATGTGTCACATGCTATGTTAAGTTCTTTATATTCATCTATGTTTTTCAACCATTAAAAAAATCATTGCTCTCCTAAGGAGCCGGTTAAGACATGTTTTTCTTAATCAACCCCTCTATGAAATTTTAATATCATAGATATACTGTGTATTTTTTTGAGTTCTCAAGAACCAATTTTCACCCCATTGGGGGCAATACTACCTGATTGAGAATGCATGATATGTACATATTTTCTTCTTCTCTCAGTCATTCCCCAAGTAATTGCTAAACTGTTTGCTCAGTCCCTGAGCTATTTACACAACTATTGACCCCAGGGAAAGAAACCTTGATTCAGAGGTGACGGGCACACATTCCATCTGAGGAAAGGCTGCATTTTTCACACAGGGCCCAGCTCCCAGGTCATGCCTGGGCAGACCCCAGCTTGATGAAGTCCTGTGGCCTCTCTCTCTGTATGTACTGGTTTCTTTGTGACCTTCTCCCCCAGGACCTCGAATGGGATGCTGGACATTCCTCCTGAGAAACCTGAGGAGGATATTAAAAACACAGCCACAGTTTTCCTACTGCTTGCTGCCAGGCTTCTTAGGGGCCCAGCTGCTGGGGTAAGATTTTGTAGATATTTTTAAATATACTGAAATATCTGAGGTTTCAAATGCTTCTTCAATTTTCTGACATGTTAAAGGGCTAGAAAATGTGGCAATGAGGAATGGTAGTCATACAGGGCTCGGCAGAAGAGAGGGCAAGAGAGAGAAGAGAAAGGAAGATTGGAAGAATGGGGGTGGAGGAAAGATAAAGGGAAGGGAGGGAAATTGTAATGGAAAGAGCAAGGGCCTTGGCATCCGACAACTGGCTCAGTCACTTTGTGACCCCGAGCAAGTTACTTAAACACGTTAGGACATAATTTCCTCATCTGTAAAGTGATAATAACACTTGTTTTCCAAGGTCTATTTGCTATTTGTATGTACAATATCTAACATATAAAAGGGGCTCAATTGTGTAAACGTTATGATTATTACATGTACATATTGAGAATAAAGGGATTAGAATAAAATAAATTTGCCAGTCGGTTTTTCTTCTTTTAAAAAGGGCTAATGGCTGAGCATGGTGGCTCATGCATGTAATCCCAGCACTTTGGGAGGCTGAGGTGGACGGATCACAAGTCAAGAGATCGAGACCATCCTGGCCAACATGGTGAAACCCCGTCTCTACTAAAAATACCAAAATTAGCTGGGTGTGGTGGCACGTGCCTGTAGTCCCAGCTACTTGGGAGGCTGAGGCAGGTGAACCGCTTGAGCCCGGGAGGCGGAGGTTGCAGTGAGCTGAGATTGTGCCACTGCACTCCAGCCTGGTGACAGTGAGACTCTGTCTCAAGAAAAAAAAGAAAGACAGAAAGAGCTTATGTGTGCCAAGAAATATGGGCACGGCCACAAGGCATTCTGGGACCTCAGGAACAAAGGCTGATGGGAGAGGACCACTGTGGAGTTTCTAAGGGGGCCAATAAAGAGCACTCCTTTTCTCCATTCAATTTTTGAGCCAATTGAGAAATAAAGCCAAGCAGTCAGCAGATGGAGGCCAACATACCTGCTACCTGCAGGTAGCTCCTTATTGATCAATGCTACTTGGGAAAGCATAGCTTCTATCTTCAAGCAAGTGCAGTTCTTATCAACTAAACTTTGGGATTTGACCAACTTGCCCATCAGCCTCAGGCAACACCAGAACAAGGCAGGCTTTGCCTCTGGAGAAAGATGCCCCTCCTGCGGGTAGCTCCTAAGAAAAGGAAAAAAGCTAAGCTATATATGACACAGTTTTTCTTCCAAATTCACCAACCGGGTAAGTCAGTTTGCCTAGAGGAGTGTGGCGGGGAGCCGAAGCCAGGTGTGTTATGCTAATGGATGTCCTGCCACATGGATGAGATAAATTAAGAGTGGGTTGGGTATGAGCCTCCTGTTCTCCAACAGTCTCAAAGTCAGTGCAGGAGGTGAGCAGAACCGAAGTTGTGGATGAGACCATAGAACTGGGCTCACAGTCCGGTAGATGGGATACAGTGGTGTGCTGGGAAATGCTTAACAATAGGCTCTTTGGAAAATAAAATACATCAACTTATAAATTTTATTGATACAAAAAAGGATGAGTAGCATGCCATTTATAAATAATAATAAAATATGCAATACCCTTATTTTAAGTCCCATATGGCCAATTGACTCTCACAGAATGCTTTCATTGATTTTTACTGAACTCTTGTCTCCATAGCCAACCGATGGTTGCAATTCAACCATGATTTGATAAGTGGAGTAATTTCCACCATACAAATAACACTACAGTCATACAAATAACACTACAGTCAATGTAAATAACTCAGAGCATAGACAGTAGTAAAATGTAGTAAGATAAGAAGTGATGAGTTTTGAGTATGACCTTTATTTTTAGTATAGATTAATTAAAAGTTTATATGACTCAAATTTTAATACTGGGGGTGTTTAACAGTCCAACTTGCAAAAATCCTGAAAATTTATCAGTCGGCTCCTGCTTCTGTATTACCACTGAGGCATACCCTACGGTCCTAATTATGTTTTACAGGTATAGCAAATTAGAGTTCAATCCCATCCCAAGAAAATTTTTGGGTGTCTCATGTGGAGGGGGGCGGCCAGTTGCTTGCATGGATGTCATAGCAAGAGGAATGGCATCCAGGAGGGGGCAGTGTAGTTTCAGGTGGTCCCTTATGAAGGGAATCAGACCTCAGCCTGTGGTTACTACAGGATGAAAAGGGGCCACTTCTAGGGGGCTGAGACTGTGGGCTTCCCCCTGGGTATGGGCCAGGGGAACATTCAGAAAACCAAAACAGAAGTCCCGAGGTGCTATTGTGAATGACAAGGGGTCAGGGGAGAAGCCTCCAGACCTAGCACCCATCTGGCTACAGGGCAGGGTAGCAAGGCCCACTCCACCCTACTCTGGTGTGGCAAAGACTCACTCTGGACAGATGATGAACTTGGACTCAGAAGTTGAGTGGGGCAGAACTTAGTTACCTGAGATAGGGCTCAGGGCCTGCAGTTGAGAGACCTAGCAAGCGGAGACCAACACCAGAAGCAAAGCAGAATTTTCTAGTCAAACAGTTTGGAGCCTTGGAGGGCATGAGCAGAATCACAGTCCTGCAATTTCCAAACTGCTGTCTTTCCTGCACACAGGATGTGTGGTTGGGTCTTTAAGCAAGAGCAAGTACATAGCACAGCCCACCCATCAACAGAGGCTGATGTGAGAAGTTCATTACATTTAATTTATTCCAATTCCATTGTATATGCACACAGTCACTTTCACTTTCACTTTCAGGAAGGCCCACTCAAAACTTGGCTGGGTGTGGTGGCTCAGGCCTGTAATCCAGCCCTTTGGGAGGCTGAGGCAGGAGGATCACTTGCATCTAGGAGTTTGAGACCAACCTGGGCAACACAGTGGGACCCCATCTCTACAAAAAATAAAAAAAATAGCTAGATGTGGTGTTGCGTGCCTGCAGTCCTAGCTAGTTGGGAGGCTGAGTTGGGAGGATCATTTGAGCCCAGGAGTTAGAGGCTGCAGTGAGCCACGATCATGCCACTACACTCAATTTGAGTGAAACAGAGACCTTGTCTCAAAAATAAATAAATAAATAAATAAATAAATAAAATTTAAAGCTTATTTTAGGAGTGTGAAAATGTTACGGTGGGATGATTTGTTTTTTTTTCTGAGAGCTGAGGTAAACCCGGCCATCTTAAAAGAGCAAAATTGGTACCTGGAGCAATCACATTTTCTTATTAATTTAGGCAAAATGGCCCTTAAAATTTTTCTAAATTACTCAAATCATTTATATAAAAAAGACGTTTGTTTGTTTGTTTGTTTTTTCCCCTAAATTCGCCTGTTAAGATGCTCAGTTTCTTTCCTTGTTTTGTTTATGAAAGTCCAGCTTTGTATGAAAACTGGAAAGTCCGGGGTTTCGCGTGAGTTGTCCTGATCTCCTTGCTTGCCCCAGGCATGAATTATCAGGCTCCCTGGCCACAGGATAAAAGTCACCTCACAACTGATGGATGGGCCTTATGATAATAGAAGATCTTAATTTGAGACAACATGTGAGTCCATCTCACGCTGTCATTTTTAATAGTTTATGAACTGTAAACTCAGTAGTATATTAGATATAATGGGAAAACAGCAAATTTTGAGAGATTAATGGCTAGAGTAAATCAGTTCAAGTTGTCAAATTACTTATTTATTATAAAAAGTATGTTTGGGCCAGGTGTGGTGGCTCACGTCTGTAATCCCAGAACTTTGGGAGGCCGAAGCGGGCGGATCACTTGAGGTCAGGAGTTCAAGACCAGTCTGGGCAACATGGTGAAACTCTGTCTCTACTAAAAATACAAAAATTAGCCAGGCATGGTGGCTCATGCCTGTAATCCCAGTTACTCAGGGGCTGAGGCAGAAGAATCGCTTGAACCTGGGAGGCAGAAGCTGCAGTGAGCCAAGATCATGCCACTGCATTCAGGCCTGGGTGACAGAGTGAGACCCTATCTCAAAAAATAAATACATGAATAAGTAAAAAGTATTTTTACCTCAAAATATTGTCATGTCTTTTATAGAAGAATAAGAAAAAAGATATTAAAATAATTAACAAATAGGGTCACAGTATACACACTGTTTTATAACTTAAAAAAACCTTTTAACAAATGGATCATTTTCAACATGTACATAAGTAGAGAGAAGTGTATAGTAAACTTTCAAACTTCCTCAATCTTGTTTCATCTATATCTTTACATTCTCCAATCAGCATAGTATTTTTTCTCTAAAATATAGAACTAAAAAAAAAACCATTATCACACTTAAAAATAATTATAAAAATTCCATAGTATAATTCAATAATTGGTCAGTGTTTACATTTCCTTAATATTCTGTATGTGTGCATGCTTAGACTTATGAGGGCAATGCAGTACATTGCAACTGGTTAATATGTTTCCTGGCTGGACATGGTAGTGTGCACCTATAGTCCCAGCTGCTTGGGAGGCTGAGGCAGGAGGATCACTTGAGATCAGGAAGTTGAGGCTGCAGTAAGCCATGATCACACTATGCACTCCAGCCTGGGCAACAGAGTGAGAACTTGTCTCCCCCATTAAAAAAAAAGTTTCATAAGTCTCTTTTAATCTGTAGGTTTTTCTGATATCTTCCTCTTTTCACTATTTATTGAAGATACAACTTTTAAAACAATATATCACAATTTCCTATCATTCTTCAAGACTTCATAATATTTCATTGTATGAATATTCCATAATTAAGTTTCATAGCCTTAGATTTTTGGATAATTTTCAATATTTTCGTAATATTCAATCTACTGCAATAAACACCCAGTACATACATCTTTCAAGACTTGCTTATTTCAAGAAAAACTAATAGACACAGAATTGCTGATTGAAAGAGAATCTCTCTCTTTCTCTATCTCAATCTCTCTCCCCCAGTGCTTTTTCCAATGATTTGCTTTACTTCTAAAGTAAGATATGAATTTGCCTCTGAATTTGATTTAAATTTAAATTCTCCAAATAGAAGATTTCTGCAATAAACACTGAAATCATTTCTTACTATACAGGTAGGATTCAGGATTTGGTAGCAGTTTCTCTTGTCACAGAAAGGTCAGGGAGAGATTTATGGCAAGATGACTGTTACAGGTGTTCATAGTCGCACAGCAGGTTAAACTGGAAAGCGTCATATGTCTTCCATGACTCACCCCTCTGGCTTGATGAGTCACTTTGACCTGAAAATGTAACTCTCTTTTACATGATTGATGAAAAACCCTGAGTATGTAAATAGAGTGCCTCAGGAAACGTGTTCATTCCTCCTTTGATGGCTGTGATCAATCTGTAAGGCCACAAGAAAGTCTACATCTCCGGGAGTGAATGTGAATGGTTGTTATTGCCACAGAAGATTCCACGACTTCCTTTGAAAGCCTCTCTGGAATCTAAAACATGATTGAGTGAATGGAAAGGTGGTGAGATCATGAAAAGTCATGAATTGATAATTATCAAAGCTGAGTGTTGGGTACATGTTGGTTCATTGTGCTATTCTCTCTAATTTGGGGTATGTTTGAAAATTCATGTCCATAATAAAAATTTAGAAAGTCTCTTGGAGCAATATGGCCAACCTATGGCCATGTGCCCCTGGATGGCTCTCCAGGTTCTAATTACAGCCCTTGAAGCAAGCACGAGTGAATAAGGTGTAACAATAAATTACTGTAATGGGGTGTTTTTAAAGTAATAAGAAGCCCTTGGAGAGATTTCAAATGATATTCCATGTGAGCATGTGCCACCATTCACTTTTATTTAGTGCAATAAACGAATCATGTAGGAATATTTTAGAAGAGAAATTATTGTGGCCCATTGTCAATGACGCTGGGAGATTCTGCCTAAGAATCTCCTTTGTCAAAGGGACCACTCTTGCATTGCAGTCTTAAAAAAAAAATTGTAATTGGAAAATTCTACTTTCTGTATAACCTGAAGCATAAAAGCTATTGAAAACAGCTATGGTGTACCAAACTGGGATTAGTGAGATAGCATCAGCCCTGATTATTATTATGTTTTTCTTTTCAACTTCTTTAGAAAGCCAGGGATGCCTGAGGACCTCAGACAATTGCATACAGTAAGCCAGTACCTAGAGAGGCTCTAGAAAATCAGGTACTTAAAATTTTAATGGTAGAATTAATCTTAGGTCCTGGAGGAAAAAAAATTTGGATATAAAAAATGCTTACAGTAGTTATACAGATATTTGACTTATTAGATGACTCCTCACAGTAGGCTCAAGACTAGGTGTTAAAAAGGCAAAGTCAAATCACTTAACTAGTCTCAGTGATGATTATGTAAAGAGAAGAGGGAAAATGCCATTTTACGAGTCAGCAACCACTAGCAAGCAGATGGCAGATGTTTTGTGTCCCCACGCCCTGACAATGAAACTAGAAAGCTATAACCGTTAATGAACATAATTTAAATCTTGATCATAAAAGACCTCATTTCATTTCATAAAATAATGAAGGTTTTATCCCTGCAAGGGATTCCTCATTCTACGCATAAGGAAGCAAAGAATGAATGAGATTTATAAACTCAAGGTTAGATTGAAATCATAGTTTTCTTCTGATTTATTACATGTTTCCCCCCTATTTTGGAGAGTTAGTTTGCCATTGTGACACTGGTTATAGAACAGATCCTTAATACTCAAGGTTTAACATTTGTAGTTCCACTCTATTTTCTTTCTTTCCTTCTCTCTCTCTGTCCCTTTCTCCCTTCTTTCTCCCTCTCTTTCTCTGTCTTTTCCCTTCCTTCCTTCCTCCCTCCCTCCCTCCCTTCCTCCCTCCCTTTTCTTTTTTCTTTTCTTTTTCTCTTTCTTTCTTTCTTTCTTTCTTCCTTCCTTCCTTCCTTTCTTTCTTTCTCTTTCTCTTCCTTCCTTCCTTCCTTCCTTCCTTCCTTCCTTCCTTTTCTTTCTTTCTCTTTCTTTCCTTCTTTCTTTTTCTTTCTTTCCTTTCTTTCTTTTCTTTTCTTTTCTTTCTTTCCCTTCCTTCCTTCCCTCCCTCCCTCTCTCCCTCCTTCTCTCCCTCCCTCTCTCTCTCTTTCTCTCTCTCTCTCTTCCTTCCTTTCTTTCTCTTTCTTTTCTTTTCTTTTCCTTTCTTTTCTTTCCCCACCTCCTGGTTCAAGTGATTCTCCTGGCTCAATCTCCTGAGTAGCTGGGATTACAAGTGTGTATCACCATGCCCAGCTAATTTTTTAATATTTTTAGCAGAGACGGGGTTTCACCGTGTTGGCCAGGCTAGTCTCAAACTCCTGACCTCAAATGATACCCCTGTCTCAGCCTCCCAAAGTGCAGGATTACAGGTGTGAGCCACTGTGCCTGGCCTCACCTGGCCTTTTGATAGTTCTTTTTGTGCCCTAACCCACGTGTCCTAGTAAACACCTATGTAGCCTTTGGCTCATAGCTGAATTTCCACTTCTTCTGAGAAGCATTCCTTGACTTGGAGTCCTAGTCAGGTACCAGAGTTAGAAGCTTTCATAGCACTCCAGCCCTTAGCTTTGTAAAACTGATCGCAGTTTGTAACTATGTGCCTATCTATGATTATTTGATTATGGGCTACTTCCTTCCTTCAGGGGGCAGTGACTCCTGTGGGAGCTGGGGCTGTATCTGCTTGTGCTCCCTGTGTTTTTGTCGTTTTTATTTTTTTGTAGTAAATAGTAGGCCTTGGGCCTTTAAAAAATATGTAGTTATAAAACATTTCAAAGATTTAGAAAAATATCCAGAAGAGTATAATAAATGCCTGTGTACTTACCAGTCAGTTTTAACAAATACCAACATTTTGCTAGAATTGCTTCAAAAATTTTTTTAAGAACAAAAACATTGGTTTTTAATTAAAAGCATTGTAAATTCCTCTCAATCCCACAGCGCTCCTTTCCTCTCTGCAGAAAAACACTTCTCATGAAGGTGTTGTGTATCACTCTTCTACACAAACAAGCCATAAGTTACATGCCACGGTCCATCTACATACATAGCCAGGAAAGATAATACTCAGCTTTGCCAGCATACATGGGTAGCTAAAACTCATCTATGAGTTGCTAAAACAGAAAACTTTAAAAAATGGAGTTGCTGGAAGTGAGCAAAGTACCCTTATTCATGAGAATCTATGAATGGCATGCTCCTTAGAAAGAGAGCTGATGCTCTGTTTGGTTCAGACTTTTCCAATATCTGATGTAAGCCAGTCATTTTCTACTGTCTCTTTAAAATCTTTTATGGTTTACTTAAAGTTGTCTATGTTCTGACATTAGCTTGAATGTTAGACATTTCAAGCTCCATTAATATAACCTGACAAAGAGAGAGTGTTGAATACTCGTGCAGAGTATGAAGAGCTGGGGTGAAATCTTTCTTTTTCTTTTTTTTTTTTTTTGAGAGGGAGTTTCTCTCTTGTTGCCCAGGCTGGAGTGCAGTGGTGCAATCTCTTCTCACTGCAACCTCTGCCTCCAGGGTTCAAGCGATTCTCGTGCCTCAGCCTCCCAAGTATCTAGGATTACAGGCACCTACAAACATGCCTGGCTAATTTTTGTATTTTTAGTACAGATGGGGTTTCACCATGTTGACTAGGCTGGTCTCAAACTCCTGACATCAGGTGATCCACCCACCTCCCCCTCACAAAGTGCTGGGATTACAGGCATGAGCCACCGTGCCCAGCCAGGGGTGAAATCTTTATTAACTCAATGATCTAGAGCAGTGAGCTCCTCTGGGCAGCATCATGGGCATCACTGGGGAACTTGTTAGAAATGCAAATCCCCAAGGCCTGCTGGAGACCTACTGCATGAGAATCTCGGGGTGGGGCCCAGCAATCTGTGTTTTCACAAACCCTCCAGATGATATTTGGGGCACATTAAAGATTGAGAACAACTGATCTAGGGCAAGGACCTTAAGCTCTTTAAGCCTCAGTTTACTTATCTGTAAAATAGGAATGATAGCAATATTTTTTATGACACAGCGTCTTTGCGAGGATTAAATATTAATTAACATTTATTGAATACTTAGTGCTAGACACTGTTCTTAGCATTTCCCATCTCTTAGCTCACTTGAGCCTTAACTCCTTAAATTAACTCATCACAAATAAAAGGAGATTAGAAAAGTACCTGGCATATAGCAAGCACTCTAACTTTTAGTATTATGTTATTATTGTTACCTTTTTGAGCTGAAAAGATTAAATGAGAGGATGTACTTAGCAAGGCATCTAATACATAGCATGTACTTAACAAGTATTAACTATTTGCGTGTAAAAGTATTTGTCTAATGAGTACAAAATATTCACGTGGGTCCTTATGGGAAGTATGGCCTAGTCCAAAAACAACAACAACAAAAACTGATAGAGAAACTCCCAATGGGACAAAAAGCCACCATAGAAAAAAGTTTTATAGATCACATTTCAATATTTCTTTTTCTGATTTGTCATAAGCTAGGAAGCCAAAGAGACCTCTTTGAACTAAGTGGGAGGGCCGAGAAGGTAATTACACTCCAATTAAGCTGGTAATAGCTGCCCTCTATTGGAGAGATCAAAAGCCAGAGAATCACTGCTTATGAGGAATTTTGAAGACAGGCTGCTCTTTGTGATGAGCAACTGGAAGTTTTGACCCTACAAAGTAGCTCAGAGAGAGGGAATTAGCTGCCTGCTGGTGTCCAAGAGAAAGACAAGAAAGGTGCAGGCGGAGGCAGAACAGTTAAAAGTTTGTCAGAGAAGTGCTAATGTGCATTTGGGCATTTGTATTTGTTTTAAAATTTTGCTCTGAATTGTGCCTTCTAAAATAAAAAGTCTCTAGTAATTACTCTGCAGTTTTATATAAAGAATTTCTATCTCTTGGGAAAGGATTTTTTGCATAGAAAATCAGGCTCTACCTTGTCTGCTATGAATGGGAAACCAAGCAGTTGAAGTCTTTCCTATTTTCACTCTCTTCCCCAGCTAAACTGACCACTCCCTCTTGTGACCCCAAAACACTGCTGGCTTCTCCTGTTATGGCACCTAGTACACTCTGAAGTGATTATTGTTTTTCTTGACATAGACCAGCACTGTCCAATAGAAACATAATGCGAGCCACTTATGTGATTGGAAGTTCCCTGGTAGACACTTTACAAAAGTAAACAGAACAGATGAAATTCATTTTAATAATATATTTTATTTAAATCGACATCTCCTAAATGTTATCACTTTAATATGTAGTCATTACACAAATATTAATGAGATATTTTACAGTCTGTTTTGCTACTAATTCTTTGAAATCCTCTGTGCATTTGACATTTACAGCACAGCACAATTTAGATCAATCACATTTCAAATGCTCAGTAGCCACATGTGGTTAATGGCTTCTGTATTTGATAGTGCTGGACTACAGCATGAACATCTCAAAGGCAACTGTAATGTATCTTTGTCCCTACAGTGCTTTGTGCAATGCCTAGGGCATAAACGCTGTTCCATAAGTAAATGTGGTAGACAGAATTCTAAGATGGCCTCCAACCACCCTTGCCCTTGTGTAATCTCCTCCTCTTTGAGTGTAGGTGGAAGATAGGAATCTGATGAGGTATCAGTCTCTTAATTGTGATGTTTATGGCAATTGGGAGGTTGTCTTGGGTGGCCTGCACCAATCAGGTGAGTCCTTTAAGAGCAGAGCATTTTCTCTGACTGGTAGCAGAGGAAGAAATCAGAGAGAAATGTAATTGCTGGCCTGGAAGAAAGCATACAGCTATGTAGCGAATTGCTGATGGAGAGGAGCAGCCTCTAGGAACTGAGAGAGATCCCCAGCCAACAGCTCTTAAGAAAACAGAACCTTAGTCCTACAACCACGCAGAACTGAATTCTAGCAACTATGAGCTTGTAGGAGGGTCTTGCATCCCAGGGGAACCACAGCACAACTTACACTTTGATTTCAGCCATGTGGTGCCCAGATTTCAGACCTACAGAACTGTGAGCTAATACATGGGGTGTTGTTTAAAGGCATTAAATTTGTTACACAGCAATAGAAAACTAATATAGCAAATAAATGTTTCAATTGAGCAACGATCATCTAGATGACGACGATTTCTCTAAACCTTAAGCACAGTCCCTGAGAGGAAACAGTAACCACTGAACATGAGACTTCAGAGTCAAACCAGTATCCTGATGGCGACATAATTATCTTAACCATGCCAGGGTAACAGCAATCTGTGATGTTTGAGTCATTCTCTCTTTCCCCGTGCCATTTGAATCAGACAGAAAGGCTAAGTGAGGAGTGAAAAAAATGACAAAGTATTTGGAAGTAAGTTTGGGATACTCATCTTGTAAAGGAATGATTATTGATTAAACAGAGGCAAATGTGACGAATAATAATAATGACAATGATAAGGGTAGCTCACATTGGTTGGGTTTGTACTCTGTGCCAGGCATATCACCCCTTGCCTCACTATATCCTCATCACAGCCATGGAAGGTAGATAGTAATATTGTATTCATTTTATGGATGTGGAACCTGAGGCTTAAGAGGTAGAAGGTTTACTTGCATAACCAGACAATAAAGATGATTGGGAAAAAAAGAGGAGATATTTTTGGATGAAGCACTATTCAGAGCAGATTACCTTGACTCAGATGCAGCTCTTTGTCTTGAATGACAGAGAACTCCATTTCTTCTGTGTTAACAGGTTCTCATTATACCCTTTCCTTTAACAAAATGGTCCTCAACCCCTGCATTTCAGTCTTCACATTTTCTCCTTTGGAGGTATCACTGAATCCTGACCCCCAATAATGTTTCTGGTCTTCACTCTGAAAGGCATATCTTGAATCCTGTGTTTCTTCTGAACTCCAGCCCTCTATGCCACTTAGATGTCTCATTATCCTCTCCTGTTCAGTTTATTCAAAATGAAGTTTATCATTATGCCCTGAAAACCAGTTCTCTTCCCCAGTACTCTAATCCTGTGAATGATTCCATAATCTGTCTCATCCATAAGGCTCCAAATCCCAAAGACCATTCCACTGTATCTCGTTTCCCTTTCCTTTAGCCAATCAGCTGTTAAAGTATCTTTCCAGAATGTTTACTCAACTATTTCTACATTCTCCAACTTCCTGAGCCCTTTAGGCCACTAATCTTCTTCCTTTCTTCCTTCTCCAGTTTGATTCTATGATGCATCAATTCAGTCACTCTTGCCAGAGCCCAAAGCCCCTTGCTACTCTATTTTTTATCATTTCTATTTGATACAACTTAGACCCAACCATCTTTCTCTTCTACTAGGAGGCTGAACAGTACCGGAGAAATTGCACAGAAGGAAGATAGAGTTAAAATAGAACTCTTCGTTCTAGTTTTCACTGGGCCCCAAAACCAAAGATGCCAAATACTGTCAAATTCCAAGGCAAAGTATTAGCCCATCTATCAAAGACTTCTAAAGAACGTGCATGAAAATAGGTTTTGTGATCTGTACTTTACCTTTAGCTGTGAATTCTTCCTATTTGACACTCCTTACCACCCCATCCCCAGACCCTCCATCATGTGAGAACTTCAAAGAGATCTTGTTAGGTATCTTTTGAAACTTGGAGACACGGGCAGGAATTGACTTATGCCAAAAGAGAAAGCCTTTGAGTGAGAGGCTGGCTGAAGTGAACAGTATCAGCACAGCAGAGGGCTGCACTTAGGAAGTAAGCACTTTTTGGCTTATGCCAGGCCAAAGTTGTATTTTTCTGGGGACCAAATAAAATCCACAGTAGGAATGTGAGTCTGAGTTGTTTTATAAGGAATTCTAACCCAGAGGGCTTCCTGGAATGGATGAGGTGTCCTTGACAAAAAGAGGTTGAAGGTTTCACTGGATGGAGAAGTAGAGGGAGATTGTAAACAGCTGCTTAAAGGGGAGGCACTACCTGAGTGAAGGAATTCCAGTTGGACAGGTCCAGAAGGTGAGTGTCTGAGGAGGCTACAGATACTGAGATGAGAGCATAAAAGTCAGCTTGAAACATCAGCCAGAGCCAGAGGGCAGCTACACCAGCTTATACCTATGTAGGTCAAATAAGACCTTTCTTCCTCTTCCCTTCCTGCTGTCTCTGCTTCCCATCCTGGAAGACCCATTGGTAGCTAAGTGCTGGGGAAACAAAGTCAGGGTCATGGAGAAGTAGCATTAAAGGGAACACAGAGATGGGTATCTCATTCCCCACTATAGGCCCCTTAGTCTAAAGCATTGCCAAGCCTACGATGAAGTTGGGAGTTTCTGGGCAGATTAATTTATAAACCGAGGTTGTGGTTTGGAACTGAAGTGACCAGAGGGCATTTTATTATCTGAGATGATCAGAGAGTCCAAAGACCTTTCTATTATTTCATTTGAAGTTGGGGAGGGGAAAAGAACTGGCCTAAAAGAAGATTCAAATGGGCAGTTGAAGGTGAAGAATAAAGCTATTTTCTTTTTGCATCCTAGGAATCCAGCTTGCTCACGGGTATCATTCTATTAGTATCATTAAATACATGAATCATCTCAATCATCCACAGCTGGGTTTCAAACTTCAAGCCATGGCAATTCTATAACATCTGTCTGGTGGACATGCGCTCCTATTCTCTGCAAAGCTACCTTAAGCATCTCTACCTTCCTTAATTTCCGAACTTATACTGCCTCCTTACACTCAGATGATCTTGCTTCAGTCTTCACAGAGAAAGTCATATCCATCAGATGTGAGCAAACCCTCCATTTATTTTATATTGCCAAATGGAGCTTGGAACTAAGAGTATTAATTGTTAATCAACACATATGTTACAAATATGTAATGGATGGCTCCACTATTTGAAAATGGTATAGGCCCAGTGTGGTGGCTCAAGCCTGTAATCCCAGCACTTCAGGAGGCCAAGGTGGGAAGATCACATGAGTCCCGGAGTTTGAGACCTGCCTGGGCAGCATAGTGAAACACCATCCCTAAAAAATAAAAAATAAAAAAAAATTAGCCAGGCGTGGTGGCATGTGCCTACAGTCCCAGATACTTGGAGGCTGAGGTAGGAGGATCACTTGAGCTCTGGAGATTGAGGCTGCAGTGAGCTGTGATTGTGTCACTGCACTCCAGCCTGGGTGTCAGAGTGAGACTCTGTCTTGAAAAAAGAAAAGAAAATATATTCTCCTTGGCAGGTGCACTGTTGCCTCTATAATCTTATTTTCATTATTGGTTTGCTTATTTGTATTAAAACCTACGAGCGGATCTAAAGTCAAGTTTTAATTTATATGTGTGGTATTTTGTAAAATACATCCCAAAGATTGCCATTCATACAGTATTTCACAATATTTGAAATAGGGTATTTTACGCCTTTGCTATTACCTTCAGAGAGCTTTTGTAGTCTCAATTCTCTTATTCCATCTAATTACAACTTCATTTTAAAAGCAGCTGGGAGTATATATACCCTCAGCATTTAAGAATGTTACATTTAATGTATTGAATGAGTTTTTAATTCCAGTATAACTAACAAAAATAATTTAAAAACAGAATTGCTAATGGAAGCATGCTTCTCTATATAATTTACATTATCATAAAAGAACTCTAAGTTCATTATAGAAAATTTGAATATCACAGGGAAGTATAAAGAATAAAATAAAAATCAGTCATAATCACACTGTCACTTCCATACTCATTCTTAAGATTTCCCAGTCTTTTCTACTTTTCAAAGCTGATAAAATAGTGCACATACTCTGAAAAAATCCTGCTGTTTTACTCCCTGAAGATTATATAGCAGCCATCTTTTTTTCCTGTGTCGTGTAATACTCACTAACAATCTAGTTTTGATGACTGAAGTGTATTGTATCAGTTTATAATGAGTTATAATTTATTATATTATAATGCCTATTATTGTATACAGTATTGTAGTATATAATCTTACCCTAATATAATTTATGTAGCAATTCATAGCATGCTTATTTTTAGAAATAGAAAAATCTGATACACATTTGTCTTCTGGCATGTAATCAGGTTTGGTATTTTCATCCCACCATCAATAACCTTAAATTTTTTGCCAAATTATACTCACTTTGTAATCTGTAAACAATTACAGTCCCATTTTATTTTACTTAATTAATTAATTTATTTTTTGAGATGGAGTCTCGCTCTGTTGCCCAGGCTGGAGTGCAGTGGTGCGACCTTGGCTCACTGCAACCTCTGCCTCCCAGGTTCAAGTGATTCTCCTGCCTCAGCCTCCCAAGTAACTGGGATTACAGGCATCGGCCACAATGCCCAGCTAATTTTTGTATTTTTAGTAGAGACAGGGTTTCACTATGTTGGCCAGGCTGGTTTCGAACCTCTGACCGCAAGTGATCTGCCTTCCTTGGCCTCCCAAAGTGTTGGGATTACAGGGGTGAGCAACCGCACTGGACCTGCAGTCCCATTTTAAATTCAGCAAAAACAAAAAGGCCACCAAGCTCTTTAAATGTCTGAAATTGCAGTCTCCACTCATGGTCTCTGTTTTCCCTATTTCATTTATTGCTTAATTCCTTGTTATCCAGCTCTCCCCCTTCTTGAATTCTCCTTTTTATTCTCCCCTCTGTCTCTCTTCAATAGGAAATTTGCCTTTATTGGCTTTTTCTTTACTGCTAAATGCTCATAGAAAAATCAGATATTACACATAAAGCTCATGGGCCTTATATTTGCCTGCATATCAGGGGTGGAACCATTTGGCGGGAGACTCATATATACCAAGTTCATCACACTGAAGTATCAGAATACTGGGTTTTAAACTTACCCAATTAATAGTGGAGTTGTCATGTGGTCTGAAATGCTCTAAGTCTGTATGACTAACATTTTCTCTTACCGAAGATAGATATTCAAGGGAAGCCAAACCATAAACAGTAGTTTGCTTAATAAGAATGACACCAGAGCAAGAGAGTTTGGATTAGACATTTAGAATGTTCAGTGGCAACAGGCAACCCCACGTGTGCATCATAATAACTAAGGTTAGATGTGGTGTTAGGGTTGGGCTGAGGCAAGGAAACTGCGATCCTGAGAAATCCATCAAGGAGATGAGTGCCATTTTGAAGCTCCCCTTGTGAGACAGCTGGTTGGCCTTCTTAAATCTGTCTGTCTTAACTGTGCATGGTGCACCTTCCTATCAGAAACTACTGCATTGATCACTTGCATCTTTCTTCACTGTCTCTTCTTCCTCCTGGTCATCCATGACTCTTGCTTTTTTGGTCCTCCTCCTATGTCTGATGGTTCTTTCATTAACTTCTTTCTATGCTAACTCTTAGTTCTTACATCTCTGAAGCAGCATGTTTATACGAATTCTGCCCTGGGCCTTAAAGTAGTTATTAACATGGCTCACTGATGGCAGCACGCCTTTTTCCAGACTCATGGTTGGATGATATTTCCTGCCTCCTTGGTGGTTGAGTGGGGCTATGTGATGACTCCTGGCCTTTGATATATGAGCAAGATAATGTCTGTCATATCTGGGCTAGAATATCTAATTGCCAGCGTGAGATCCTCCTTTTTTTCTGCTGTAGAAACTAGCAATGTTCCAGGTGGGTGGTTTGCTCATCAGCTCAAATCCCAGGGCGAGATGATGCTGAGCAGAACTCATAGTCAGCTCTTGACATAAAGAATGGATGAGAAATAAAACTGTCATGTATTAAGTCACTGAGATTTTGGGGTTGTTTGTTACTGTAGCATAATCTAGCTGTGGCCTGACTGAAACAGCCTTTTTTTTTTTTTTTTTTAGAAAAAACTCTTTACCTTATCCCTTGATGGTTTTATAAAAGATTAAGACTTTAATTTTATCCTCTAATCAAATCTACCAGACTAAACTTGATTGATGCCCTAGCTCAGATCCCAGTTTTCTTTTCCTTTATTTTATTTTATTTTATTTTATTTTATTTTATTTTATTTTATTTTATTTTATTTTTTGAGGCAGACTCTTACTCTGTTGCCCAGGCTGGAGAGCAGTGGTGCAATCTTGGCTCACTGCAACCTTTGCCTCCCAGGTTCAAATGATTATCATGCCTCAGCCTCCCAAGTAGCTGGGATTACAGGCACCTGCCACCACACCAGGCTAATTTTTTGCATTTTTAGTAGAGACAAGGTTTTGCCATGTTGGCCAGGCTGGTCTTGAACTTCTGGCCTCAAGTGATCTTCCCGCCTCGACCTCCCAATGTGTTGGGATTACAGGTGTGAACCACCGCACCTGGCAGATCTGTTTTCTGGTTAACACGTGACAACTTCAGGGGTCATAAGAACCTTGATCTGAATGTTCTGCAAGATATCTCAAATTCACCATGCCCCAAAACAACTTATCATCTCCTTTCCCTCAATTGCTGCTGCTTCTCTATTGCCATTCAGTTAATAACACCACTTTCTCTAATTAACTCAGCATTTTAACCTTGAAAATGTGCTCCTCATGGGTGAGGTGGGGCCAGTCTTACCAGTGACAAAATTGAAAAAGCAGAAAGACCAAGCCAAAACACGAAGTCCAGGAACCAGAGCTGTATCCACTGGAGTCCTTAGGAATTGTATTTCTTAAATTCTGCCTTGTATAGAAAAATTAGCTTCTCATTTTCCTTTTCAGATCATGCAAATGGACTTCCATTGGTTTGCTGAAAGCAAATGTATTCATCTTCTCCATCTTCTCACCTAAAAAGATGAGATCATTCTTTTTAAAATGTGATCTCCTCCTCTTCGTCCTCCTCCTCCACTATAAAAAGAATACTTGCAACAACAGGATGACAGTGTGTGTCAAGCACACTGGCTTCTGCAGGCTCCATAAACTGTGGTGGACTTTCTTTGTACCACCTTCTTGTCTCCATTACATAGTTGTGGAGGAGCGGGCATCTAGCCTCTAAATGCAGCCAAGAAAGGGAAATCAAGACTGATGTTCTAATGGTGAGGTAATATCCAATCTATGGTCTCTGAACCCAGCAACTCCACCCCAGGTTCGTTATCTGTGTCTGCAGTTTTGTGGTGATTGCAGATCTGGAAAGCTGACACTCCAAATGTCACCAAGCCATTTATTTAATCATCAAACCAAGCTCATGAACCAATTGCTCCTTCCATCACCAGCAAAAAGTAAAAAAAGGAGAATGTGATGAAATCCGCCTTTGGCTACATTGCAGAAATCAAGAACATATCTGAGATTGGCTGCTACAGTTGCCAATTAGGTTATAATCAAAAGAGGAGAACAGGGAATTAAGGGTAAAGTACTATCCAAAGAATAGAAGGTCTAGGGGCACAATCCATGCTGGTCTTTTCCTTTGTTAAGGCTGCTTCTTAATATCTCTTTAGGATGAGAGCCAAGACCATTTCTTTGGTCACAGGGGCTGGATGGATATGCTATGCTTTAAGAGGCAAGCACTAGTATTTTATAGGAGTCTATGCATGAAGTCAAAGCCACAGAACCAAGTATTTTGAGGTGTGTGAGGGTGGGATTGAATCAGAGTAAATTGAGATCAAGCTGCCGTTGTTGCTATTGAGAAGATGATGCTATTCTTATTTCTAGTTATTTATGACTAGTTTTCTCTCTCCTGTCTACAGTTCTAAGCTTTAATGACAATGCAGTATTTCTGAGAATTGACATAAAGAAGGGCGTGGAGTTGGGTCAGATTTTTTGTTTATAATGTGATTTTTTGCTTAGTTTCTCCATTTAATTGTGGTACCTCAGCTGTGTCTGGTGTTCCCAAGTCTGGAATACCTATTCATCCACATCTCCAGGGAGGACATCTTTGGTGCTCTGCTGGAGTAGGGAGAGTTGGCTACCTGGCCACAAAGGGTTGATTAGGAGACCTCAGAATTTGCCTACTCCTTACAAAGATTTTTAATTGATTGTCTTGTTTTCAATTTGCCTTCAGAGGCAGCTGGCATCCTCAATTCCTGACACTTTCTGGGGATTCTGAGCTATAAATTGGTTTGCTTCTTCTGGTTGACTCCTCCTCCTGTAGCCTCATCCCTCTCTCCTCTTGGGTTGCCATGTCCAAAATTTTGTGGCTGTCTATCATCTGTGGTCATTTCCCTTTCTGTTTCCTTTGTTTTGGGGGATCCATGTTTTATTTTTATTTTTCCTGTCATTTTAGAGGGGCTTGGAAAAGGGAAAACAAACTTCTGTATTCAATCTTTCATATTTTCTGAAAGTCTATTCAGTCACTTTTTTCTGTCAATTTCTATTATGTTTTTCAGAACACTCCTGAATGTGTCTTGAACCTAGTAGGTAACACGATACAAATCAAAGCAATTATAATATCATACAGTGGCTTCCCTGACCCAAGGGAAAATGGCAGACATTAAAATTACCCTGCATAAATATTTCTGAAAACAGTAGACAATGCAGTATTTTTCCAAATTTCTTGTCCTTCATTCATGCAATATCTACCGAGCACCATGCTCAGATGTAGACACTGGGATGTGGATAAAATGATCAGCAATCTTAGAGCCTCTCCTGTGAATTTCTTTTGTGGTTTTTCATATGATACATGGTTGTTCAATCAGTAATGTAAGTAGACCTTTTGCTATAGACTGTAGTGATAGAGAGAAGTGACTGCCTTTTTATAGTGAGAAAACAGCTGGGCCATCATTGCATTGCCAGGAGAGAGAGGAAAAATTGTCGGGGGTTCCTGTTTGTCATTGGCAGGAACAGTGAGATGCTGGGGAGACGCAAATTATGCCAGAGGTGCAGGCCTCTTCTGTCACTTTCCGAGAATTGGCTGAGTTTCATCCACAAAGACTCTGATGGAGGGTCTGAAATCCCACTTTTGATCAGTCAAAGCATGGCCTTTTACACAGAACATTTCATGATGCCAACAGATAGTTTCCAGAGAGGAACTGGGAATTAAGTTGAGCTCTGGTTGCAGATGATTCTTTTTCATGCCTAGCTACCCAAACAAAGAGAGCAAGCCAGAAGCCAAATCTGCAAGTGAACATACACAATGGAATTGGTGCATGGGAATGTACAGGGCTCTGGCTGATTAAACTGCTGCCAGAGCGCCAAGGGGCAATTTCTCTAAGCCTCCCTGTCTTGTATTTTGGCAGCTCTCTCTTCCCTGCCCCCTCCGTATCCCCTTCCCCACATCCTCAAATCCATTTGCACTGTTGTTTGGAAGAATCCCAATTCACACAGATTGGCAACACTGTAATTGGTGTTTTACTTACCTCTGCCTCTTTTCTCTCTGTGTTTGATCATTCCGATAATGACAGCTTATTTTCTCTCCCGTTACCATTGGAAAACAAAAAGAAACTCTTGAAAAAGTTGTGGAGTTATATTTGAGTTTTCTGATATACTGCTATGGAAAATAAAATTCATATTTTAAAATGTTTTTCCACTTTTGTTTCCCTCTTCCTCCCCCATCCCCCGAGGAGTCAACACTCATGGGAAACATTAACGTTGAGAATTGATTTTCCCTCAGAAGGTGTTGTGACTACAGTGGCAACATCCTTGGGAGCTGACATGTCAAAATGTTTATGTTCTCATTTAAGACCTTCGTCATTGTCATCATAATTGGTGCCTCCATTTGCTAGACTCTGTTTATGCATGCGCATTTCATTTCAAGTGATATTTCTCAGGATAATATTCACAAGGGCTTGGGGCTCCTGGAGTGATAAGTGTTATGTAAACTGAAATGATTACCCCCCGGCAAAAGGTGATCTCCATTGCACACACCACCTGGCTTAACAGCTCACGTTTGCACAGTGCTTTGCAGTTAAGAAACAGTTTTTTGTGTATGTTATTTCCTGTAATCCCCCTGATAACACTGCAAGGAACACATCAGGGATGATCTGGCTCCAGGAATCACCCCATCTTGCCCTGCCACCAGGTGTGTGTGCTTCTGTACCTGGTGCACTGCTAACTATTTGCAGGTGTCACTGTGCAACTCTAAAGAAGCTGTGTCCCAGGTGGTTTCATCTCTGAGAAGAGTCAAATTTACAGAGGCACAAACAAGCAGAAAATAATTGGAGGAATTCTATTCTTTTCTCATGTCTCCTAAGAAGAAAAACCGGGCAGGTAATTACAGGATCTCTCTGGCAGTCTTGGGAAGAGGAGAAACCTGTGAATGCTGTAAAATTAATAAAATTGATTCCATCACAACTATGTAAACATTTCAGTTAAGGAGACATATAATCAGGGCAATGTCTATAATATGAATTGACTGTGTCATGTGACTCATAAATTAGCATACCATGACTTGTTATGAGCAGCTATAATGCAGTGTTAAGCTAGTGGCGAAGAATAAAAAAGCCATTTGTTTCCTGGGAGATACACAACCTTTGAACTGAGATTTTATAACAGCATTTCAAGTCAGTAAACAGTTCCTCTAGAAGAACACCCTTCTGGAAGAGAAGACCAAGAAATACTGTAGTAACTGTGGATGCAATCTGATTCCTTCAGAGGTCTTGGCTAGAAATCTAGTTCCGGAAGGAATGCCTTAAGTCAAAACTTAATAAACTCAGCTGTAGATGGCCACATAACGCTGTGAGAAAAACATGGAGTTTAGGGAAGAGACCCAAAGCACAGACCTTGGACAAGCTAGAACTGAACATGACGCCTAGATCCTTCATGTACCAGTTATGTAACTCTGGACAAACCTTGATTTCTGTGAGCCTCAGTTTCCCCATGTGAATACTCATGGGTTAACTATGCCTCCTTTACAAAATCGTTGTGAGGATTAAATGGGATAAAACGTGCAGTGTACCTAGCCTGTAGAAGCAGCTCCACAAATGGTGGCCATTCTTATCATAGTCTGACGTTATTCTCCTTCTCCATAGAATCTAAACACCTTCGGGTTAGAGCTCAGTTCAGCTCCTTCTGTTCCCTTCAAACCCCAAGTTACAAAGGCTCTCAGAAAGGCTTTAATTTGGCTATGGTTCTAACCATCATAGCCTGGCTTCCAACTCACATCCTGATGGATAAATTGGCTTGACTAGCTGAGTTTTAGAAAGGACTGTTTAAGAAGTACTCTTTTGGCTAATCACACAGCAGTTGACACTTGGTCCAGAATCTGGTTTGTGTGAATAATTGTAAATAGGAATCAACTTTTCTTTTCTTTTTTTTCTCAAAGGAAAAAAAGATTATAGCTTTATTCATTATGTATTGTAAATCACTTAAATATGTCTCACCTATGAGTTCTGAAATCGTATTTAAAGAATGTGGGGTCAATGAATGAGTTTCTGGGAATTTGAAGTGAGAATCACACCAGCCCTGCATTCTCTTTTATTTCCATTACATCCACCATCAGACAGATCCCTGATGAGATGCAACCAACCTCTAGAGGTGTCATTTGACCATCCTCCTTCTGCACATAAGTTCTCTCATATTAATAGCCTCAGAAGAAGGAGCAACAACAGACTTGTGAGTGACCCACAATATTGCTTAAAAACATTTTGTTGGAGAACAGAAAACTGAACAAAGCAACCCTGGCAAAATAAGAAATTTGTTGACCACACGAATTGGAAATTCAGGGCTACAGCTGGCTTCATGAAGATGACAGGCTATCAACCCCAATGGAAAAGAGATATTCTCTTCTAATTACTCTGGCAGAAAAGTCCTAAGGAGGATTCTAATGGGCTCCACTTATGTCACATGCCCATCTTAGAACCATTCACTATGACCAGAGGGATGGGGCATATTGATTGGTTGGCCTGGGTCACATGATGGCTCTCGAGTTGAGGATGATGAGGCAATCTTTCACAATTCCATCAGGACCATGTGAACCGGAGGAGGGTGCAGGGCAGACAAGCAACACAGACCTACTACACCCAGCCCTGTGTGGGACCTTTTCTGTTGAGAAACAGAATTTTTGTGACTAAACTGATTCCTTCTGGCTCTAATTTGATTCCTTTCCTCTGCCTGCTACTCAATATCTTTCCATGATTCTTCCTCAACAAAAGGCAACAATTAAACCCTTAATTGTTCTTGAGAAGATACATTATTTTATAGGCTGTAAAAATTTAGCATATCACTAAGTTTTCCCAGGCAGAATTTCTAAATCTTTTGTAATCTTCATAGAACTGCTAGACAGTATTTTATTTCTTTCATGGCTTTCTATAGTTCAGGATTTCAAATGGAGCTGATGTGAAGGATATAATACAGGGTATAGGTAAAAGAATTTCTGAGTCATTTGATTTGTATTCAAATCTCACTTCGACTAACTTTGCTTAGAAAAATGCTAGTAAAATGCCATATTTTTCATATATTGGGAAAAATTTAAAATAGTGGTGTCACATGTGCACATATATATTTATATATTTATATATTTTATATTATATATATTTTTATATATTTATATATTTCTTTTTCCTTGTCCTGCATTAATTCTTCTGTTCCATGGATTGATTCACATATATTGTGAACCAAGCCCTATCTGAATACACATCTACTCTTGGACTGTTCAGTTATATGAGCCAAATAACCTCCCTTTTAAATTTAAGCCCCTTTGGGTTAGTTACCTATTACTTGAAACTGAATTACAATTCATATAGTTGATACTTTCCTTTCCTTGTGAAAGTATGGGGAAAATAGGCATTCCTATATACCATTGCTGATAGAAGTATGCATTGTTACAGTATTTTTGGATTGTAATCTGTCAGACTCAAATACAGTAAAAATACAGCAAACCCTCTTTTGGAAATTTTTGTCACAGAAATAAAACTATACATGAGGTATGTCTGATAGGATGTGTTCTTTGCTATAACAAACAGAAAAACTAAATTGGCTTAAATAGTAAGAAATGTATCTCTCACCTGAAAGGAAGCCCAGAAAACAGAGTAGACGCTAAGGTTGGTTAATTCAGTGTGCCAAAATGTCATTGAGTATCCCGGCTCTTTCTCTTTTCTTTACCCTCCTTGTCATTTTTATCTTTGAGTTGGAACATGGTGTTTGAAGCAGGTGTTTTTTTTTGTTTTGTTTTGTTTTGAGACAGAGTCTTGCTCTGTTGCCCAGGTTGGAGTGGAGTGCAGTGGCGCGATCTTGGTTCACTGCAACCTCTGCCTCCAGGTTCAAGCTATTCTCCTGCCTCAGCCTCCCAAGTAGCTGAGATTACAGGCATGGGCCATCACACCCAGCTAATTTTTTGTAATTTTAGTAGAGACTGGCTTCACCGTGTTAGCCAGGATGTTCTTGATCTCCTGACCTCGTGATCTGCCCACCTTGGCCTCCCAAAGCGCTGAGATTACAGGCGTGAGCCACCGCGCCCGGCCTTGAAGCAGTTTTATGAATCATATCTCACAACTTCCATGATCAACTTCCCCTCACATTCACTGTCCAGAACTGGGTCCATTTATCATGGACATTTGTCCATTTATCACCAATCGTTAACAAAGGGATAGAATTATCCTTGGCTTTGACTGTTTATCTGGGAGTGGATGTTGAAGAGTCAGCTACAGAGGCTATCCACAAAAATATACCATGTATGTGTGTGCACACATGAATGTTTATTGTAGTTTCGTTTATAGGGGTTAAAAAAAAACAGACAAAATTTAAATGTGAATGTCCATCAGTAGCGAGATCATTGAATAAATTATGCTCTTCCCATACTGAGAAATATTTTGCAGCTATTAAAAATAGTGAGTTAGATATTCATGTATTAATTTGAAGAGATACTTGTGATGTACTCACAGGTGAATAAGCAAGTTTCAGACACCTGTCTATAGGATAATCTCATTTTCCTTGGAAGAAAGGATATAAATTTTAACCTATTTATGTACATGTGAGATGTGTATGTGTGTGTGTGTGTAAGTGTGTGTAATAGCACAGAGAAAAGTACAAATGTAAATACAACAAATTACTTACTGGCTCTCTTAGTGTTTATATACCAAACTATTAACAGTGGTTACCAGGTAATTTGAGAATTAAAACAAATATTATGACTCACACGTCATAATAATTTTTATATAAATATTGTTACTAAAAGAACTGTACTAAGGAAATGTGAAAATATCATCCCTTTAAAAGTGCAGTCTGTGAATCCTTGGCTCCTAGAACACTAGCGAATCTAATTAAGCAAAAGCATTTCCAAAATGATAAAATCTCCCAAGCATTACCAGAAACACAACATTTTACAGGATACTAGACTGAAAATTAAGCATTTGCAACATTTCTATATTCCCCAAATCTATTACAGCTCCTCAAACATAGAAGATATTTAATACATTTATTTTTTCATGAAAGCTTTCAGGTCCTGGAAAACGCTAGGATGGATATCTATTAAAAAATAAATTGCAGGCTGGGTGTGGTGGCTCATGCTGGTAATCCCAGCACTTTGGGAGGCCGAGGCAGGTGAATCACAAGGTCAGGAGATCGAGACCATTCTGTCTCTACTAAAAATACAAAACATTAGCCGGACGTGGCAGCATGTACCTGTAATCCCAGCTACGTGGGAGGCTGAGGCAGGAGAATCACTTGAACCCGGGAGGTGGAGGTTGCAGTGAGCCGAGATCATGCCACTGTACTCCAGCCTGGGCGACACAGTGAGACTCCGTCTCTAAATAAATAAATAAATTGCAAAGTCATAGACAGAACCCATCTACCTGAAAGTTTAGAGAATATTTTAGGGAATTTTTTTTTCCATATTTTTTTGAGAACCAAAAATATTTCAGTTGAAAAAGTTTAGATGATGTATTTTTTGAATGATAGATTAAATAAATATGCTAATTCATAAGCTATTACTTTTCCATTTCTGTTACACCAAAAATGGTAAAAATGATGCAATAGATTATTTTACCTGCACCATGTATGCAGTTGGATATTTACGATTCTTGTGTATGGGGAAGCTTATCAGTTCTTAAATGTTTGCTATTTAAGAATATAGTTCATCTTAGAGACACACTAGTCAACACGAGGTAGCAGAAAAAACATTCCTGTTCCTTGTTAGTTTTTAAAAACACATTTTCTTTCTTTCTTTCTCTCTCTCTCTCTCTCTCTTTCTTTCTTTCTTTCTTTTTTAGGCAGAATCTCACTCTGTTGCCCAGGCTGGAGCACAGTGGCGCAATCTCGGCTCACGGCAACCTCCGCCTCCTGGGTTCAAGTGATTCTCCTGCCTCAAACTCTTGAGTAGCTGGAATTACAGGCATGTGCCACCATACCCAGCTAATTTTTGTATTTTTAGCAGAGATGAGATTTCACCATGTTGGCCAGGCTGGTCTTGAACTCCTGACCTCAGGTGATCCACCCGCCTCAGCCTTCCAAAGTGCTGGGATTACAGGCGTGAGCCATTTTGCCCAGCAAAAACACATAATAAAAGCACCTTTTTCATCTCATGCAATCCCTGCTTTAGCCAGTAGTATGGAACAACAAAAATGACCATGCAAGCTAAAACTCTGCAGTGATTTTCATGATCAATGGGAAAAACTATGATTGTCCTGTAGCCTTTAACAAATTTTGTCATAACATTAAATCTTCTCTTACTTTCCATTCTAAATATGTAGAGTAATGAAAAAATAGTAAAGCTCACATTTATTTAGTACTCTGTAATTTAGAATGTTGGAAGTACTGAGAATTAAAGGTTTTTTGTCTGTGTAAAAAACTTATCAAAAATAGTTTGAATGGTGCTTACCTTCTTCTCATTCTATAACTTATGATAGAGCAAGCATCTTTTTCTATGCCTTGGTGAGCTGTCATATCATTTCTAAGTTTCGATTAGTTGCCAATATTGTATCCTTTGTGCCTTCTGTGTCATGAAATATCTCCGAGAGTTCCTTCAGTGAGAGGTTTGTTTTTTTTTTCCTATTGCTGGTGTCACTTCCTCTGGAGCATCTTCATCGTTTCATCACAGTCACTTTCTAACTGGTGTCAGTAAGTTCACCTTCTTTAAGCTTCCCAGGCTGCAGATACAGAGAGTGTCCACATTCCACAGTCAGCTATTTCTACGATCACTCCATTTACGCTTGGTTCAAATTTCACTCCCAGTGTTACCACTTCTCATTCTTTTGCTGTGTTTCATCTGGGCCATTTGCTTCTTATGATTACCTGTTTTTGTAAACTGTCATGTGGGTTTATCCCTGGGAGACAAGGAGACAGCACAACCCCTTGGTTTGCTGTCTGTGAGTGAACTGAATAACAGATGTGCAGTGACCGAGCCTGGACGAACTGAAAGGAGGGACGTGGTTGGCTAATGATGATGATGTACATCCATTATTTATGTAGTGATTTGTGTACTCAAGACTAAGCAGGGAAGTTTCACAGTTAATATACCGTGGAAACTGGAATTTGAACCGTGTTGCTGGGGGACTGGTGTTATTTAAACCATGGTAACTGAAATTTGTGCACACAGGAATTTGTGCAAAGCAAGGACTGCCTGAACATGTTCATTATAGAAAATTTAGAAAAGATAGATAAGCAAAAAAGGGACAACATATCAACTTTTGATCCAGGGGTTGAAAGCTTTACACCTGAGTAGGAAGAGAATCCTTACAGCAGCAGTGAACATTTGTTCTGGACAAATTTAGAAACACAATGTTAATTTTCTGCTCTTCAAGGGTTCAGGGCCAAAAAAGGAAAATCAAATTTAAAGGTTTAGACATCAGAAGGGGATCAGAAGGAGAGGCTACAGGGTACGCCCCCTGCTCCCTTGTAGTTAAGATCAAACCAAAAGAAGAAAACCTTGAGGCAAAAGTTTCATGAACTGTATATCCCTCTGAATATAAGGATTATCGTTTGTACCTAACTGAGGCTCTTCCTGTGGATTTTTAAACTTCCTCTTCTCTGTGTTGTTCAGGGAACCGGCACTGCAGCCCTGCTGAGCCTCAATCCAGGGACAATTCCTAAGCTTCCTTTTCAGGGTCTGGCACTACTCCTTCCCCAGTCTTTGTCTTGGGAATCAAGAAGCTGCTGTCATAGGCTTCATTGCTCACTTAATTGCCTATCCTAGGGCCTCAACTCACTTGACAGGGTATTTCTTCCAAGTAGTTAGGGAAGGAAAGGGACTTCTCATCAAGTGGGCCATATACTCCCTTTTAGCTTATGAAAAACTAGGCTTTTACTTTTTAAATTTTATAATTGAATGTAGAGGCTAGCTTCTTCACGACATCTTTCAGGACCCTGCCTCATCTAACACTTCTCAGGGGGGCCTATGGCATTCTATGCTTTCTGTGGGTCACATGAAATTGACTAGGATTCTTTTTTGATTTGATAAACCCAGTTAGAATGAATATACCTATTCCAGGAATTCTAATCCTCCACCAGAGAAGTTTCAATCACTTTCTTTTTCTTTTGAGACAGAGTCTCATTCTGTAGCCCAGGCTGGAGTGCGGTGGTGCGATCTCCGCTCACTGCAACCTCTGCCTCCTGCGTTCAAGCAATTCTCCTGCCTCAGCCTCCCTAGTAGGTGGGATTACAGGTGTGTGCCACCAGGCCCAGCTAATTTTTATATTTTTTAGTAGAAATAGGGTTTCACCCTGTTGGCCAGGCAGGTCTTGAACTCCTGACCTCAAGTGATCCTCCCGCCTCGACCTTCCAAAGTGCTGGGATTACAGGCATGAGCCACTATGCCCATCCCACTTTCTTTTTCATTTGGGAGGTATGTGAAAAGTCTAAGGACCAAGACAATTTGTGGAAGGCCTAGTCTTTTACTTAATGGCATCATGAAGTTAGGAGTTGGGCAAGCCAACGTTGTGCTATTCTAGAGGTAGCAATTAATTAGTAATGAATTAGATGGGGATGTGGGAGGTCATAACTAATTAGTAAGCAGTAAAGATTGGTAGTGCACCACCATATAGGATAACTTGTGTACACCACCTCACATTTTCTTGGCCACCATTTGCTTTAATTACAGATGTGACAACTAGCTTTGTGCAGGTGTATTTTGATAGTACCTCCATTCAGCTGCATCTGTTCTTATGCCCTGGAACATCACTGATATGGTGGCTACTTAGCTCTCATGCATGCAAAATCTGGAAGGGTTGAGGGATTGAAGATCAGGGGCAATCCTGACTAATAGGGAGATAAAAGCCAGTGGACAAGGGCTACCTCCATCCATTCCTTGGGCAGAAAACACTATGGCATATTCTGTGTTGTGCCATCAGGGAAGAAAGGACTAAGTGGAAGGCCCTGAAGCTGTGGGAACCCCCTCATTTGTCTTTTTGTGACTGAGATAGTAACTCAGAATCAATACCATACCCTGGGAGGAATTGCAGAGGCTAATGTCATCATTAAAGATTTAAAGGCTGTAGGGATGGTGGTCCTTATCATATTCCTATTTGATTATCTGTATGACTTTTATAAAAGCCATAGGGTTATGGCAGATGATGGCCCCAATTACAGACGCTGTGGAGAAATGTGGAGTTTTTCCCTGGGTAGATCAGCACAGCTTTCATTATTCTGGTATAATGTATGTGGTAATTAATCTGGCAAATGCATTCTCTTTAATACCCATGACTCAGGAGGCTCAAAAGTAAGTTCACATGTGGGAGGGATGCAAGTATACATTCACTACCTCGACACAGAGATGTTATCTTACTTTTTGCTGCCATAATATAGTCTACGAGAACATTGATCATTATGGCATTTCACAGAATGTCATGAGGATCCTCTACATTAGTGACATCATGCTAATTGGACCTGGTGAGTAGGAAGTGACAAGTAGTCTGGATGTTCTAATAGGACAAATGCATGCCAGAGGGCAGGAGACAACCCCATAAAGATTAAGGGGCTTTCCAAGTCAATGAATATTTTAGAAGTTCAATGGTCTGGGACTTACCAGGACATGCTTTTTGAGATAAGTGACAAGTAGTTGCACTTCGCATCCTCCTACCACTGAGAAAGAGTCATGGTGCTTGGTAAGCTGCTTAGAATTTGGAGGGAAGCCCTTGGGAGTACTGCCAGAGCAAGAGAGAGCTTTGCAGCAGGTCCAGGCTGGATATAAGCCAACGAGGTTAATGGTGCTAAAGGAGTCTGTTGTGGATAAACAAGGTGTGTGGATATTCTTGCAAACTCCAATAAGAGCATCATAATATACATCAGTAGGGTTCTGGGGCAAAGGACATGCCTTCTGCAGCAGAGAAATAGTCTCCATTTGAAGAGCACCTCCTGGCATGTTCTGGCTTCTAATAGAGAATGAGTACCTGGCTATAGGACATCAAATAATTATGAATAGATGCTACCCATCATGATCTGGGCATGATTCTGCCCTCAGAATCATAAGATCGGGGGATATAGCACCCAGGCATGGCCTTGAAGGGTGTTCCCCTAAAAGAAAGTGGTAAAGGGGAAGTGAGTAAAGCTGAGAACAGTGCAGTGGCAGTTACTTTTTATGGTGGGCGAAATGCCCTGAAGTGGCAATGTACGTAGAGTCTTGGGCAGTGGCAAATGGTTTGGGTCGTTAATCAAGGCCCTAAAAAAGGCAAGCTTGGACGATCAAAGACAAGAAGTGTAAGTAAGAGGCATGTCCATGGACCCATGAAAGTAAGCATAAAGCATTGGCTTTCTGTGTCTCATGGTAATGCCCAGTGAAGAACAGTCATCTGGAGGAGGCCGTCATCAATTGAGTTGACAGATCACTTGTCCTGCAGATTTCAGCCACCCTCTGTCTCAGCCACTCCAGCTCTGTGCAATGGGCTTATGGTGGAGTGGTTATATGGTACAAGGATGGAAGTTATACATGACTGCAATGGCGTTGGATTCCATCTCATTAAAGCTGAGGGCCCAACCTGGCAACAACAGAGACTGATATTAATGCTCTAAATGGCCCCATCACTTGAAGAGACCAAACAGGCACCTAGTAACAGTTTGATTGCATCAAACCCCTTCCACCAGTTGCAGCAATAGGGACTATAGCTTTATTCAGGAAGCTTTCCATATTAAAACCTTTGTAGAGACTGTGGTTGGCCACCACCTTGAGCTCTCTGGTGAACAGGATTTAATAATGTAGGGCATGAGTGGAGCTGAGCAGTGCAGGAGATGTACTCTGTCAGACATCTTGTGTGTACCACTTCACATCTTCACAGCTTCTCAGTGTATATTTTACTCCAGTCATTGCTGCAGCAACTAGTTTTGCACAAATATATTCTGACAGTGCCTCACTTCATCTGCATCACATTTTTCTGCCCTGGGACTTCTCAAATGCTGTGCTGTGAGATGGCTGTGGAAACCCACTCAGGCATGTGTACCTTGAAAGGGCAGGGGAGTTAAAGCCCAACAGGGCATCCCTTTTCTAATGGGGGATGAGAGCTGATAGATAAATGACGGATAAATGAGGCATATTCTACATGGCTCCTCAGAAGGTCTTAGTGGGGTCAAGCCCTAGTCACAAAGCGGTGACCAACTTGATAATGTCCTCTCACAGTGCTGTTCCCTCCTATCCTCTCTTTCCTGGATCATTTCCCAGATAAACTACTGGCACAAACGCTTGTCTTGGGCTCTACTTTTGTGGAAAAATCCAAAATCATCATAATTCCAATAAGATTCTCCAATATAATTCAAATTTCCTCAAGTCTTACCTGTATATTTAGGTACAACGGAGGCACACTGAGGGTAAAGATGAAAATTTCTTGGCTCTTGCTCCGAACTGCATGACCCTAATCTTAAGTTCTTCCTCTCTGGCTTACACGGTCAATGTCCACTGAACGCCCCTCGGCAGTTGTGCCTCAGTACTGTCACTGATGTCTTGGGTGACAATGCTGATGCCTGTGCTGAGTCTGCACTCTCCAGGTGATACCCAGGATGTAGACCCTGACTCTCTAGCTCCTACATGGCTCTGCAATCTCTTGGATTTTCTCTGTGTTGGATCCATACAGCAATAAAAGAAAATTTCCTCTCCCCTTTGGTGTTATACTTAGTTTCTGAGGCCCAATGCACGGTGTGCAACATCCTAGTGTCTCCTTTTGATTTTGCCTATGGCCCAGACAGATCAGACCTAGTTCATGGAGCTGGGCCAGGGAGCGATAGGCAACACAGATCTCAAGCTCTTCCTCCCATCTTCATCTCTCCCAGACACTTCTCAAGCCTTCTCTACTAGCTTCCTTCCAAATAGTCCCAAAATGCAGATAGCCCCTTCCTCAATGGTTATTCCATTAGGGCTTTTCCCTTTGTTTGACTTGTCAGAAAGGCCTGGGACACAGCAGTGGGTGCATCTCAGGAACACATGGAGTCTCTCCACATTTTCCTCTACAATATTACCCTGAGAAAGTCTACTTCATAACTTAAATGTTAATGTTTATATGGAGTGGAATGCCAACAAAAGCCTTCTTGTTGTAGACTGTGATTTCAAATATGACCTGTGGATTTCCAGTCCTCACCAGCCTTTGACTACCAAATAAGGTCATATTTCCTTTTACAATCTAGAGTAATATGGCCCTGAGCCCCCATCCTTTGAACACCCTTCCTCTGTTGAGTTTTCCTCCACAATTGAATTCTGGGAATCCAGGGATCGTTCCCATGCCCCACACACCTGTGCTGTTGGGCATGTTTATCAACCATTCATTCCCCAAGTTATCTGCTTCTCCAGCATCCTTCACTCTCCACACATATCTGCGAGTGAGGAAGGGGCCTATGAACTGAATATAATCAATTTGATAATCACAGCTCTTAGGTTTTATTATTTTTTTTTAAGATAACACAAACCACCCAAAGTTTGAGGGGGGGGGTAACAGTTTGCCATTCCCACACAACCTCACTACTGGGTTACAATGAAAGCAATTCTCAGACCAAATTCTGCTACACAAGCAGGCATTTGCTAAACACACATTCACTAGAAAGTGAGCACAAAATGGCTCATATGACCTATTCTGGAGGCTTGATGAAGTCATAGCCCCTGTCTGGCCTTTTACATGCTCTGATGAACACCTCGCGTGAACTTCTGTTCACTGGAGACAAAAGCCAATACTTCAGAGGCAGGATTCTGTTACCCTTATAGTCAACATCAGATAGCAAGGATATTCCACATCGATGGCTACACACCGATGGCTGCACATAGAGCCTTTTAGCAATCAAGTCTCCCAGAGTAGTAGGCTACCAGATTCCCTGGATTCTAATACTCTGATTAGATGGGGGTAGAGATATTTTAGCCAGTCCACACATTAAGAATTCTTCTAATGTTACCAACAAAAGATCATTTCTGAAATTGGTTAAGTGAATCAATAGAACACGATGTTGCATAACCCCCTTCCTTTTTTTTTTTTTTTTGAGACAGAGTCTCGCTCTGTCACCAGGCTGGAGTGCAATAGCGTGATCTCGGCTCACTGCAACCTCCACCTCCTGGGTTCAAATGATTCTACTGCCTCAGCCTCCTGAGTAGCTGGGACTACAGGTGCGTGCCACCACGCCCAGCTAATTTTTGTATTTTTAGTAGAGACGGGGTTTCACCGTGTTGGCCGGGGTGGTGTCGATCTCTTGACCTCATGATCTGCCCACCTTGGCCTCCCAAAGTGCTGGGATTACAGGTGTGAGCCACCACACCCGGCCAATAAAAACCCATTTTTGATATTCAGTGTGTAAGTTATTCAATGGTGAAGCTTTGACTATTGATTGAGATGCAGACAACAGAAGCACTGGTGGGCGGACTCAAGGTGAAAGTGCCAGCTGACCACCCCTGGCCGCTCCTAATTAAAGCTGCAACTAACTGGCACATATGTAGTATCTCACTGTCTATGTTGAAGTATTTTATAGTACCTTGCTGTCATCACTACAGGTCCTCAAACCTTAAAGTCTAAGGCCCCAAACCTCCTGGACTCCACAGACTGGAGAAGGTGCTCCTCTGCTCAGTGGAAGGCTTACTCATTTCTTAACCACTCCCCTTCACAGAATGTGGTTGACCACTGGATCCAGATAAAGCAATCACAATAGTTCAGTGTTTTACAAACTACAAATTACGAACCATTAACAGGTTGTAGTATCAATTAAATGGGACATGACCAACATTAAAAACAATGAAATAGGAATATATAGACATAGCAGAAAGCATTACATATAATAAAGATAAGTATTGCTTAATGAAATTTTGTTACTGTTAAGATATTTGTTGCGTGTGTTTACTGGAATACAATGTAAAATGTAAAATATCTTTTAAAAAGTCTTTAAAAACTGTGCTTCAAAAAAAGTTGAAAGTACCCAAATTGTTGAAAGTACATTCCACAAGGTTGTTATCATTTACTCTTCAAATACCACTTAAATACCAATGCCCTAGATTCACATTTGGGCAAAACATTTCTCCCCCTCTTCAAGGGCATGGTCCTGGCTAAAGATACGTACTTACATCACTGGCCAAAAGAGTTGGCATCTTAATCTGCACCATCAGCATTCAGATTTATGGTGACTTCACTGCTGTCGCCAAGGACAAGAAATGGGTACTTGCTTTATACTTATGTAACTATGTGATCAATCTTGGTAATTTTCCAAAAATAAGTTCATTCCAAAGAGCCTGAGAGCCTCTCAGCCTCCCCACACTAAAAAACTCTGAGCAACATCCCAATGGCCATTTCAGTAAAAAACAAACAAACAAAAAAGAAAGAAATCCTGTCTTTACCAGGTACCAGCATCATGCCTCACAAATAGTCTGTATTCTGAATACATATCCTAAACCAGATTTTTTTTATATCAAATAAATTGGAGAGAATGGTTGACACTTTTCTGACAATTGCACTGACTCCTTCTTTGCTTAAAAATGGTGGCTTGTGTAGAGAGAAAAATCTGTAATGCATAACCAAGTTCCCTAGTTTGGTCAAGTGTTTTTAAGAACTCTTATTGAAAGGGAGCACTAGCCCAGAAGTAGTTCTTAACTTCCGACAGCATTTTTATTAGCCAAGTCATCAATGCTACAAAGTCCTACATAAGAATTGACAATGGAATTTGCTGGGATGAATATATCTACACGATATTTTAAACTTAAATCTAGTTTTCTTAAATCTAGTTTTTGCTTAGTAATATGAATAAAAATTTGTGGTATTGACTGCTAACACACAAACACGCATTTTAATTTTATTTATTTATTTATTTTTGAGACAGAGTCTCACTGTGTTGCCCAGGCTGGAGTGCAATGGCGTGATCTCGGCTCACTGCGACCTCTGCCTCCCAGGTTCAAATGATTCTTCTACCTCAGCCTCCTGAGTGGCTGGGACTACAGGCACCCACCATCACGCCTGGCTAATTTTTTCATTTTTAGTAGAGACAGGGTTTTGCCATGTTGGACAGGCTGGTCTCGAACTCCTGACCTCAGGTGATCTGCCCACCTCGGCCTCCCAAAGTGCTGGGATTACAGGCATGAGCCACCGCACCCGGCCACACATGCATTTTAAAAAACAATTTAAGAACATCATGTGTTGAGAGTGATGAATGAAAAGCCAGTTTGTTCTACTAGTGGGACATTTCAATGGAAGGATACACAGTTGGTTTAGCTGAGGGGAGAAAGTGCTTAACCACGAGTGGAAACTATTGAAAGGAGCTCACTAAAGATGGTGCATAGTAAGATCATTCTCAGAAACCAGAGGGAAAGGAATTTGTGATGCCTGGGGCAGAAATCTAGGAGAAAAGTGATTTGGAGGGGCCTGGATTGGGTGTATGCAACGGCACTTGTTGAAGAGAAGCAGAAATAACACAACTTGTGATGTGGAAGCCTGTGAACCAGGGTTACAGGAAATGACTCAGAGGGTAATGGTGTTGACTCATGTAAAGTACCAGAACCAAGGAAAGGGCTTGAACACACTAATGAACCACATCGTTCTTGGGGCAGCCACTAGAAGGTGAGAGCCCTCGCTTAACGCATCCATGCAGCGTGAGAAATAACCTATTGAAAAAGCCCTGTCTCCTATTCTAGCAAACAAAATAGCCCAATTCTTCCAAAAGACCTCATAGCTAGCATTTCTTTTTCTTTTTTTGTTAAGAATTACGAAACCGTAAGAAATATTTGCCTTTCATAGTTTGCATTTTTGATGTACACTCATAAAAAAAGGGGTGTTCCCAAATGAAGCACATTTTAGTTTAACATACAGTATGTAGCATATCATGCAATGTATAGTGAGCCTGCTAAGTTTATCTTTGGACACATGTGATCCACCCGCATTGTGTTGGATGCTGAGTGAAGGTGAGTAGGGCAGAGGGCACAGGAAGGAACTTCAGAGAACTAGGGCTGTGTAAGAGATACTCTAATGCAGAGGCGGAGGGCAGCCCACAGCTTCACATTCCAGCTCTACACTTTCCACCTGGGCCGTAGCTTCATTTGCTGGAGATCTAGGGCAGGGATACCCGGAGTTTGATTATTTAAATTGGTTGGATGGTGCTGGCCCCAAATCCCTATTTGATTTCTCAGATCTCTGCTAGTTCTACATAGGATGCGTGGAGATTGAAATGTTAGGTTCCAGACCTGGGATCAAATCCTGACTCTGCCACTTACAACCCAAGACTTTGGGGGCAGTTCAGCAACCTTTCTGTGCCTCAGTTTCCTCAATTGTGAAATGGGGATAAAGACCTATCTCATTAGGCTTTGTTTGTTTGTTTTTTTGAGACAAGATCTTACGCTGTTGCCCAATCTAGAGTGCAGTGGTGAAATCACGGCTCACTGCCGCCTCTATGTCCCAGGCTCAAGCAATCCTCCTGCCTCAGGCTCCCAAGTAACTGGACTACAGACCCATGTCACCATGCCTGGTTAATGTTTTTTTTTTTTGGTAGAGACATAGTCTCACTATATTGCCCAGGCTGGTCTCGAACTGCTAGGCTCAAGCGATCCTCCTGCTTTGGCCTCCCAAAGTGTTGGGATTACAGGTGTGAACCACCATGCCTAGCCCTCATTAGGTTTTTTGTGAGTTTGTGAGTATAAAATTATTCATGAGGATTTACTCATGAATACTCACCAGCTATTATTATTATAATACTGAAGGGAGGCGGTATAGCATAGTAGTTCAAGCGAGGACTCAGAGCCAGACTGTTTGGACCTGAATCCTGGCTGTGTGACCTTAGGCAAGTTCCTTAAATTCCCTTTGCTTCAGTTTTCTTATTTGTAAAATAGGGATAATAGGAGTACTTTCTTCAAAGGAAATAAGCAAAAATAAAAGGAGTGGATATATTTAAAGCACTTAGAACAGTGCCTGGCTTACAATACATGACTGTTTGCTGTTATTACGTTTGTGCTTATTTTGATTGTTTTCTATTTGTGTTTTAAACCTAGCATTGGGCCTGGCCCGTGCTAGGTGCTTATTCAGAGGCTGTTGAATACATGAATGAATGAATAAACGTAGTCCAATTCAGTGAACTGCAGTATACATATTGGCTGTTCATAACATTCCACATTTGCCAAATACACTTGGATTTGTCTGCATCACACACGGCTTTGGACGAAGCACAGACATTTTTAGATACTGACCCCAGCTCCGTCTCCTGTTCTGCCTCATGGTGCTCAGTGGTAAACGGGGAGCTATAGGATATGGGATCATTACAGCCTCGGGAAGCAACGCTAAAGAGTCATCATAAATTTTGAAAGCTTGGGAACCCAAGAAGGAAATACAAATTATAGACGTAATTCCAATTGCCCTCCATCCCTTTCTATGTAAACACTTCTGGAGGAGAGAAACGCCACTGTCATTTGAATGCCTGGGCAGTGCTGCTGGGGAACTGAGTAGGACCCAAGAGCAGAAAAGCTCCCCCATTAACCCAGAGATGGATCTATCTGCCGCCTGGGTGGCAGCAGCAGTTCCGCCCCTTCATAAACATCAAGACACAAAATAATGGAATGTTTAGTCTGAGTAATACATTAAGGAAATCAATTAGGCCCACAGGCAACTTTCTAAGATTTTAATTACAGTACTTAGGGTACCACACTAGAGCAGTTTGTCAGGAACATAATTTGTTAATGAATAACAACTGACACAGTGAATTAGTTGGGATTGTAATTAGCTCTTGCTAGCCATCCATTGGAACCCTGATCAAAGCCAGTCAGCGAAAGGAGAAATCTGCTGTAAATGATAACCTCGACAGCTCTATCTGGGCTGCCTCCTTGATGCCGGTGTACCCAGAGAGGCCTGGTGAAGACCACGTGCATATTTCAGCTCCAGTGTGGTCTTCAGGGGAGCAGCCTCAGCCTCACCTAGGAGCTTATTCGAAATGCAGAATCTCTGGCTCCACCTCAGACCTGCTAAATTGGAATCAGCAGTTTAAGATGCCCAGGTGATTCATAAGCACATTAAAGTTTGAGAAGCACTGAAGGAGCAGAAAGAGCACAGGTTCAAAATCAAACAGATTTTGTAACTCCTGACGCACTCACCTTCTCACTAAAGATGTGTCTGCTGCCCTTGGGTGATTGCTAAGTGATCGCTTTGAGCCTCAGTGTCCTTTTCTGTAAATTGGACCTACTAATACCTAGGCCGCTGAGTCATTGTGATGACTAGCAAAAGCCTGTGCACGTGCCTCCAGGTAGTAGGTGAACAACGGATGATGACATAGGAGAAATTCAGCAAGGCTTCCTGAGGAGTGGACCTGGCTGAATAGCCTTTTTCTCTGACCTGGCTCCCTTTTATGATGTCTTTTCTGAAAAGTCTCTGAGGAGGTGGGTGGATCATGAGGTCAAGAAATCGAGACCATCCTGGCCAACATAGTGAAATCCCGTCTCTAGTAAAAACACAAAATTAGCTGGGTGTGATGGTGCGCACCTGTAGTCCCAGTTACTCGGGAGGCTGAGGCAGGAGAATCTCTTGAACAGGGGAGATGGAGGTTGCAGTGAGCTGAGATCACACCACTGCACTCCAGCCTGACGACAGAGCAAGACTCCGCCTCAAAAAAAAAAAAAAAGTCCCTGAGGACCTTCACCTCTCCAATCTTCCCATTCTACAATGGTGTAGGACCAGGAGAAAAAAGATAAAATATTACAAATAAGTTAGAAGTGTAGAGAAAATATTTTTAAAGATAAAATAATGAAAATAGTAAAATTAGCCGAAGCATATGCTAAAAGTAGACTGAATTGTCTTTAAAATTTTTTGTTTCCATTAGTTATTGGGGAACAGGTGGTGTTTGGTTACTTCAGTTCTTTAGTGGTGATTTGTGAGATTTTGGTGCACCCATCACCTGAGCAGTACACTCTGCACCCAATTTGTAGTCTTTATCCTTCATCCCCCATCCCACCCTTTTCCCGTGAGTCTCCAAAGTCCATTGTATCATTCATATGCCTTTGCATCCTCATAGCTTAGTTCCCACTTATGAGTGAGAACATACGATGTTTGCTTTTCCATTCCTGAGTTACTTCACTTAGAATAATAGCCTCCAATCCCATCCAGGTTGCCGCAAATGCCATTAATTCATTCCTTTTTATGGCTCAGTAGTATTCCATCATATATATATTCCACAGTTTCTTTATCCACTCATTGATTGTTGGGCATTTGGATTGGTTCCACATTTTTGCAATTGCAAATTGTGCTTCTATAAACGTGTGTGCAAATACCTTTTTTGTATAATGATTTCTTTTCCTCTGGGTAGATACCCAGCAGTGGGATTGCTGGATCAAATGGTAGTTCTATTTTTAGTTCTTTAAGAAATCTCCACCATGTGTCTTTAAAAATTGTTTTTAAATATTTCTTTAAAAAGGTGATCACATAAGAAAACACGACTTAATAAGATAAAACACCTGGGAAAACACAGGACCCAGGTTGTTCTATTTCCTCCCATGGGAAGGAGGGTCCCAAGAACGAGGTAGTTGTGAACCCTCCTCTTAAAAGGAGAGGAGGTTCATGCTAGAATCTTGAAGACTGAGAGCCATAGTTGAGGATCAAATTTTTTATGGAACAGTCCTTGGATGCTATACACAAGGAATATATTCTTTATAAAACATCAAAACTTTAAAATATGTATGTCGAAGCCAATTTCTTATAAGAAAAAATTGAGAAAGATATTAGATGTGTTTGCATAGAACATCTAAATAGGGTATTGTCAGTTTTAAAAATGAGAGTTTACTTTTAGAAACACAACTTTTTAATATCAAGTTTGATGCTTGAAATGGCTACACTCAATTCCTGATCAAAAGTTTTTTAACAATGATCTCTTCAAATTTTGGATATTCACCATCAGTGAGAGAATTTGCATGAAGATGTCATAAAATAGTATTTAGATTATTGTTTTACAACAATTCCAAAACTCATAATAGTTGAAATTATAGTTAGGACTATAATAGACCATCCTTTCATTGACAAATTTACTATTGAAATGTCTTGTGATAATGCAAATGCTTTTCAAATGTAATTAACTTTGTCATATCTGGTACTTCAGAATAATAATGTGACTCTCATTTACAGAACTCTCACATATCATTAGAGCAGTTGCCATGCAGATGGCTTGAATGCCATTAAAGTGCACATCAATAACAAATGACCAGAAATTCCAGATATGTTGGCAGGCCACCTCAGGAGCTTGAGGTCCCTGTCTTTCAATGCAGACAGGTGGCACCTTAGTCTGTGTACTATAGACCTTGGACATCAGGAACACAAACTTCTCTATAAGCCCCATGGGCCACTTGTCCATGATGAGCTGTTCGCTCATCCATTAGATCCAGCATTTGATCCAGCAATCCCACACCATTTTAGCTGCTGGTGTGGCTGTCTGGATGGAAGGGCTTCTCCTTGGCTCTGCTCAGTATGTTGAAGCTGAGCCATTATTTCACAGTGGTGCTTATTACACTCCTGCCTACAGTGACTGTGGGGTATACAGACTGATCCCACTAATCTTGAGCCACCCTCTGAAGAGCCCCAAATAAGGCTGCTCATGGTCAGAGGTGACCCATCCAGGGTCTCTGGCAGCCCCAAAGGTTTATGGATTGAAGGTCTTGCGGCACAACTGTAGCCTATTCATGATACATAACTTGGCCAGTTAGAAGGCTTTGTATTACTCAGTGGCAGAAACCAAGCCAATCTCTTTCTCTGTCACTTCTTCAGTTTTTACAAGGTGGGCTCTCCTGCCCCTTCTTCTTTTACTTCCTGCTCTAAGAACTGGTTAAAGGTCTTGGGTCCTTTACTGTGGTGGAAGACACTTACTCATCTCTAATCAGCGTTCTTTTCTCCCAGATGACAACTTGACCCTGTTCATTGTTCTCACTCTGCGCCAAGATGCCTGGATTACTCAGCACTTGATTTGGGGTCAGATGTACTTTTTTTAGTGATTTGACATGCTCCACTTCCTCTAGTAGTCATGGGGTGCTACTTCACATCGGTCTTTCCTTGCAATGCAGTGATAGCCTCCCACCCTGGTGTTTGGGGAATGGAAGAGGGAGAGAGTTAATGACTGGGAAGCAAGAGGCTTTGGCCTCATCTGTATTCTTTATTCCTTACAAGGGCTTTGCGTAGGAGCATCAAGCACTTACTGCTATTAATAAATTCTGTAATTTATTTTCAACTTTGTCTCTGAAAATTAAACAGGATATTATATTGAAGGTTTCAGTTTATGCAACACCATACATTCTATAGTAGATTTTAGGTCATATGCAGAAATTCTAGAGAAGATAAATTGAAAACCGTAGCTTGCCTAACCCCCACCATACCCAGGATATAATAGGGTTGAGAGAGTGCAGATTTAGGAAAAATTTATGGGGATTTCTTTGGAAAGAGTTGTGGCTATGTTGTGAGTCCTCCACAAGAGTTGTGAGTTCTCCATCCAAGGAGGAGGGTTGAAAGGGGAGCTTTCCCCTTCACCTTGTCAAGGAAGAGGAGTTCAAAGGCACCATGCAGTGAGCAGTTAGGGGAACACACGGGCCTGTTGCCTGACCCCCATTCCCCCACCCCACCCAGGATATCAGAGGATGAGAATTGTTCCTTCTGGGGGTTAGTCTTCACTCTCAGATTTTTTCTGGACAAAGACAGAACAATTTATCTGACAACCCTGGGTGGGATCATCTTATCATCTTATCCAATAGGGTTATCAAGTGGGGAGAAATGGCCTCAACCGAGGGTAAGTTGCACTTCTGGATTCCTAGGAGCAGAGGAGAGAGTGAGTAATGCTGGATCAGTGGGCTTTTACTTCGATCAAGGGCATGGCCTGTGGAAGCTTATCAGTGAGCTCCCTAGAAAGCAGCTTTAACATTTCCCATCCCCACTGCCCAAACTGCTTACAATACACCCAGTCAGGGAAGATGTTACCTGTTACCCTTACCTTTTTTTCCTACCACTGACACCTATCCAACCATGCCCTAACCCAGTCTTGAGGGGATCAGGAACTGCCATTGATCAGCTGGGGGAGGGGAACATTGTTAGGTGGAGAAAATGACCGCATTTCCCCCTTTCTCCATTCTCTGCCCCCTCCTCCTAGGAAGGAGAAGAGAGTCATAATTTCAAATGATTTGGCAGCTTTGAGTACTATTACACAAGATTCGACTTTTCAATCACTGAACGTATACTATGTTTGCAGGTATAGATGTCCATCAGACTTGATCAGAAAGTGATCCATAAATCCGAAGATCGCCAGAGTTTTCATCCCATTGAATACCTCTGGAAATTTCCCTTCCAAACTAGTTGTTCAAGTAATTTTTCTATCTGTTTGTGAGTGCACTGAGGGTAGGGATTGTCTTGTTTGTTGTTAAATTCACAACATCAAGCTGAGTATTGAGGACTAACAGGTGCCAGTAAATTAGTTCCTTCCCCATCACTGCATAATCCTTAGCCTTCACTGTTCAGTCTTATCAGGAGAACTTTTGAACAGATCGATTACCTTTTTTTTTTTTTTTTTTTTTTTTTTTGCTGCAAGCTTCATTCCTAGGTTTGTCTCTCCAATTCTAAGAACACTTCAATTTTTAAAACTGTACTGAAAAGAGAAAGAAAATGACTTTTCAAGGTCAGCTGGTTGGGCTGTTGGGTCAACTGGGAAAGAAATAGATGACTTCTGACACAGTGCATGAAACTTTGTCCATAAAAAACAAACCATCCTGTTCCACCTTTTTCAATGACATTGTTTTCCTTGGAAGAGCAGAACATCTATTATTCAAACTCTGGGTAGAAGAGTGAAATGGCCTAGGTCTAGAGATAAGGAACAATTTACTACTGGCCAGCTGCCGCCCTTGCCATCTAACAAATATAGGTTTAAAAGAAAATATCCTTGGCCCGTTGCTCCCTCTTTTCCAAAAGAGAACCAGTTATTTTAAGCTGTTTTTTTTCCTATCTTTAATATGTTTTTTGAAAAATGATGTCAATTTTTATCTCACTGTGTGATTCCCCCCTCCCTCCGAGCCTGTCCCCTTTCTCAGAAGAGTCTTACAACCACTCCTTAGATTATTTCCAAAGCCTACCACCTCGCTCCCTTGACCCTAGTTTCTCCCTTCATTCTTCCCGTTCATCCTCCACGACACACTTTTCCTCAAGTTCAGCCCTGGCCTCCTTGTCAAGAGCTCCCATGGTTCACTGAACAAGGCCCACATATTTGAACATGGCCTTCAGGGCTCTCTACCTTTTTTCTTTCCTATTGTGCTTTTACTGCTCCAGCCAATTTCACCAACAGCTGCTTTGTAAAAATGTTTTTTCTTTTTCTAGAACTTTTCTGTTTCCTCCCTTGGAATGTGCCTTTTTTCCAATTCTGTATGCTCTACCTTCCTCACCCTTCAAAGCCCAAAATTAGAATTGCCTTTTCCTTGATGACTTCCCCAGTCTCTCCAGCTGAAAGTGGGATGTCACTCATCATAGGGCTGTGGAAAGAATTGAACAAGATGATGCATAGGAGCAGACAGTAGAATGGTGGTTACCAGGAGCGGGGAAGAGGGGGAAATGGGGAGTTGCTGTTCAACAGGTATAAAGTTTCAGTGATGAAACATGAATAAGTTCCAGAGACCTGCTGTACAACATTGTGCCTGTAGTCAACAATACTGTATTGTCCAGTTGAAAACTTATGAAGAGGGTAGAGCCCATATTACGTGTTCTTACTTCCATAAAGAAAGATTATGCATGTGGATATGCAAGGTGAAATGCCTAGCACATACCAGACACAAAATAGTTCTTTCTTTCCTATATTTAAAAATTCTTTGAACTCTAAAAGGATTTACCTATTCTCTTCTAGAGTAGCAAAGTTGTTCCCATTTACCTTGTATCATAGTTATTTGTGTGCATATCTTGTTACAGCACAGTGAGAAAAAAGAGTAACTGCATGGTCCTGAGTAAGCTGCTCAATTTTTCTTCTTTTTCTTTTTAAAAAAGTCCTCATTCTTATAGAGCCGTTTCAGGGTCACAGAAAAATGGAAGATAAACAGACTTTCCTTATACCTCCTACTACCACACAGGCATAGCCTCTCCCATTATAACATCCCCCACCAGAGTGGTCCATTTGTTGCAATTGATGAACCTACATTGACTCATCATTATTACCCAAGGTTCATAATTTACATCAGGTTTACTCTTGGGCTTGTATATTCTATGGGTTTAGACAAATGTATAATAATCTGTATCCACCATTATGATATTGTACAGGATATTTTGTCTACCCTAAAAATAGTCTGTGCTCTATTCATCTCTCCTCATACTCAATTTCTTTTAAGACTCAGTTTTTCATCATCTGTTAGGGAAAAAGAGAATAATAACAATCATCTCTCTGGTTCTGTGGGTGGATTAAATGTGACAATACATGTGAAAATTTCCAGAATAGAGCCAGATACCAGGTACGGGCTCGGAGCCCTACTGTGGTTTCCTTCCTCCTTTGGGGTTGGTGACTATCATATCTACACGTTTCTAGCTCTATGGTCCAGAGCAGGTAGCTTTGTGCACAGTCATGCCTCAGCAAATGTTTGCTGAATGAGTGAATGAATAATTGGGTGAAAGGAAAGAAGTAAAAAAGGAAGGAAAGGATGGAAGGAGGGAAGGAGGGAAAAGACGTTAAATGAAAGAGTTGTCCCATTTATGTCTTCTTTGGAATACAAAAGTTATGAGGAGTTTCAACTTAAAGACCAAGTATATCCAAATAGAACTGGGATAGTTCCTTTTCTTGCTCACCTATGAGATTTTCAGCAGCACCAAACATCTCATCTAGAAAGGAAAGCCATTTGAAGTTTCCAATGTCTGAAAGTCAATAGCTGATAAGCTAGCAATGCTTTCTCTATTAAAGAATGAGTTATCCTGACACTTGTTAAAATAGTGAGAAAACTTTATTTAAGACAATCACAATAGGGGCTAACTTTATTCCAATGGAAAACAGAGATCAAGCTCATCTCCAAATACAAGGACAAGTGGATATTTATTGCCAAGGAGAAGGGTAAAGGGGTCAGTGAATGAAAAATTTCTAAGAGGGGGTAGGGGAATTTTTTCTTGCTGAAGGCAGGTTATGGACATATACATCAAAGGTAGGGGGTGAGAAACTTGGTTATATACTAAGGGTGATTAGATATTAAGGATGAGAGATTCTCTCTCAATTGACAGCAGGATTCTTTCTAAAAGTGGGCTAGACAGGTGGAAGGTAGGACAGGGGCCAAGGTTGAGGCCTAGTTGAAAGGAGGGCTCAGAGGAGCCTGACTAAAATTTGGTCAGGGAAAGTCTTTGTCCCCTCTCTCTTATCTCACAGGAAATAAAGGCTTTAAAGGAGGTCTAGGGAAAGTCATCTAGCCTCATCTAGCTGGGGGGAATAGGAGTAGTGTGAGTTTATAACACAATGTCATAAGCATCCCTATCTCTGGGTTTTCATTTATTTATTTATTTATTGAGGTGGAGTCTCACTCTGTCACCCAGGCTGGGGTGCAGTGGCACATCTCCACTCACTGCAAGCTCTGTCCCCTGGGTTCACGCCACTCTCCTGCCTCAGCCTTCTGAGTAGCTGGGACTACAGGCACCCGCCACCACGCCCGGCTAATTTTTTATATATTTTTTTAGTAGAGACAGGGCTTCACCATATTAGCCAGGATGGTCTCGATCTCCTGACCTCGTGATCCACCCGTCTCGGCCTCCCAAAGTGCTGGGATTACCCGGTGTGAGCCACGGTGCCCAGCCGCTGGGTTTTCATTTATAAGAGGTATACAACACTGCCTTTCTTCTTGATTACTTTGGTGGGTGTATTTGTTTCCTGTGGCTGCTGTAATAAATAACCACAAGTGTGGCAGCTTAAAACAAAAGAAATGTATTATCCCACAGTTCTCTAGGCCAGGAGCCTGAAATCTGTTATCACTGAGCTGAAATCAAAGTGTCAGTTGTGCTGCCTGCTTTCTGGAGGCTCTAGGGGAGAATTTGTTTGTTGCCTCTTCCAGCTTCTGGTGGCTGCCAGCATTCCTTGGCTTGTGGCCACATCACTTCAATCTCTGCCTCTGTCTTCACATGGTCTTCTCCTTTTCTGTCTGCTCTAATCTCCCTCTGCCTCCCTAAGAATGCATGTGATTGCATTTAGGGTTCACCTGGATAATTCGGGGCAATCGACCCATCTCAAGATTCTTAATCTAATCCCGTCTACAGAGACCGTTTTTCCAAATAAGGACATGTTTATAGGTACCAGAATTAGGACTTCATATCTTTGAGTGGCCATTATTCAGCCTACTACAGCTATCCAAATGGATTGTTAGAACCTGGATTTATAAAGGGCTTGGAGGTACTTCGTGGTTTTAATAGAATCCAGAGAATTACAGATTTATTTGTAGTAAATTCTAAATTTACTTGCAGTAAAATGATTCTTAAGGTCATTTGAAAGTTTTATTGTTTTAGAGTTTTGTTGCATTGAGGTTTGCTGGTGTGGGTAGTGACTGGAAACCTTCACTTGGCCTATGAAGTCTTTCTATTCTTTTCCATTAGGATGTGTAATAAGTACCAAATTTAACAGAATTATTATTTTCCCCCTACCAAACTTGTTCCTCTCCAATTCCTCCACATGTCAGTAAATAGCAACGCCATGCATCCAACAGCTCAAGCCAAAAGCCTAGGTGTTCCCCATTCCTCCTGTTTCTTTTCCTCTAAAGCCAGTTGTGATCTTTAGCTAATGGTACAGAATGGGACTCATCAATCAGAACAGAGTCAGGGAATAGAGCTGTCTAGAGAGGTCTCTACCATGCCAGGCATTAATATTTTTGTTTTTGCTTATAGGGAAGTCCAGGAGTATTGGGGTGTTGCAACTGAGGCCCCACTTGGGGGCCCTTGGCTGTGACTGTTTTCCAAAAGGTATAAAAATATTTCAATACTTTGATAACTGGGGAGCTCTCTAGGGACTCACCAGCTAAATAATAGCCCTGTTCATATCTAACTTACCAAGTCTGGCTGCCTTTACCTCTAAAAGATATCTCAAGTCCAGCTAGTTCTGTCCATTTCACTTGCTACTGCTCTAGAACCAGCCATCAATACCTCTTGCCTAGACTTCTGCCATAGTATCCTAGGGTTTCCCTGCTCCCAAGCACGCACCTCTGAAATGAATCCTCCAAACAATACCCAGGGTAATCTTTTCAGAATATAAAATATATCATGTAATTCTTCTGCTGAAAATGAATCCTTTGTATATAATACACTTACCAAACTTCTTTATTTTTTATTTTTATTTTTGGATCTCTAAACTTCTTATCCTGACCTACATTATTTAGCCTCTACCTCTCTTCTCTGATCTCAGCTTCTCCACTCTCTTTTACTATCCCCAGGTGCCTGATTTCTGTATCATTTTTCCTCCCCTCATGTCTTGGCACTTGCAGTTCTCCCTTGACTGCTATTCCTGCCTAGATATTGCATGTCTGTCTCCTCATTCAGGGCCCAAGTCAAAAGTCAAGTCATCCTCCTCCATTCATCATAATGAGATTTAATTTGTAGAAACCTTTTTCTTTGTTCACTCAAACTTTTATCGATTTTATTACCGTAAACTTGGCACTCTGCTAGGTACTAAGGGCACACAAATGAATAAGACTAAGTTGCTCTCTTTAAGGGCCTCAGTTGAGTAAAACAGGCAGAAAAATAAATTTAAAGACCTCAAGATATTTATGGTACTATGCAAAAATGAGCTGTAATATGTCTTGTGGGAGCAGAGAGGAGGACATAACACTATTAATAACCGTGCCTGGGGAAATTAAGGAAGGTTTTAGAGAGTAGCTGACTTTACCTGGATAATTATGATGGAGAATCCCTATTTTAGAATGAATAAACTGACATGGATTATACTGTTCTATATAAGATCTAAGATTTATCCATGTTTGGTAAATATTTAACCACGAGGTACTCCTGATTTTCGTATACAATTTTAATGGGCATTAAGTATATCCAAAGTAGATTTCTTTTTTTTTTTTTTTGAGACAGAGTCTTGCTGTTTCACCCAGGCCTAACTACAGTGGTGCTATCTCGGCTCACTGCAAGCTGCGCCTCCTGGGTTCATGCCATTCTCCTACCTCAGCCTCCCGAGTAGCTGGGACAACAGGCGCCCGCCACTGTGCCTGGCTAATTTTTTGTATTTTTAGTAGAGATGGGGTTTCACCATGTTAGCCAGGATGGTCTCGATCTCCTGACCTCGTGGTCTGCCTGCCTCGGCCTTCCAAAATGCTGGGATTACAGGTGTGAGCCACCATGCCCGGCCAAAGTAGATTACTTTTTTATTCAGAGTGGGAAAAAGTACTTCTCCCATTCAAGTACTAACCAGGCCTGGCCCTGCTTAGCTTCTGAGATCATACGTGTTCTGGGTGGTATGGCCATAGATAGAAAAAATACTTCTCCTTTAGCTGACTTTGTAACAAAGATTGATACAGAGAGTAATATCAGGAGGTAGAGATCTTTGTGTGGTAGGACTTGTTCCATTTACATTGAAGTGAGTGGTAGGTTATGATCACCAGTTGTATTAGTCCATTTTCACACTGCTATAAATACCTGAGATTAGGTAATTTATAAAGGAAAGAGGTTTAGTTGACCCACAGTTCCACATAGTGGTGGAGGTCTCAGGAAACTTAAAATCATGGTGGAAGGTGAAGAAGAAGTGCCTTATTCACAAGGTGGTAGGAAAGAGCATGTGAAGGAGAAACTGTCAAACACTTATAAAACCATCAGATCTCATGAGAACTCACTCAATATCATAAGAACAGCATGGGGAAAACTGCCCCTATAATCTAATCACCTCCCACTGGGTCCCTCCCTGGACCTGTGGGAATAATGGGAATTACAATTCAAGATGAGATTTGGGTGGGAACACAGGCAAACCATATTACCAGCTGACCTGTTTTTTAATCCCGGAAAGGGATGAGTGGATTCCTTATCCCTTGGCACATTCCTACTTGCCCTCCTCATTTTCTGGGAGGCTAGATGTCTTCCTAATCAATATTTGTAGAAACAGGAAAAAAGAGAAAATGTTCAAACTCACGATTTTCACCCCATAGTTAAAATAACCATGATAACCATAGGGTTTTTTCTTTCTCTTACACTTTTCCTTCCAACTAGTCATCGGAGTTTGTAATTATGTATTCATTTTTGAATTATTTGTTGAATGCCTGTGTTCCTGCTATATTGAAAGTTCCATGAAGTTCCATGAAGCAAATTTTTATGATCCACTGCTGTGTCTCCATAGTGAGCACTTGGCACATAGTTGGTGCTCAAATATATTTATTCAGTGAATGAATGAATGAATGATCCTGATAATTTGAGTAAAAGCCTGAAAGAAGAAATCAGAGGATTCACATAAATTAAAGGATAATTGGGGTTGTAAGGACACCTCCTCAGGGGGCAAATCAACCTGTTGTGGTTCATAGAGACATTTCCATTGGGTGTGAATTCCAGGTTCCCTACCATTCTGATATTTTCTTTCAAAAGGATAATTTAAATTAGACTCCTGGGACAGAAAGTGCTCATAATCATAGGTAATAGAAATACCATTATTTTCTCACTTAGCAAGGGTTCTTTGCTTCTAATAGAAGGGGAGAAGTGCTACACATTATTCCTACCTTTAGGAGAATATCCTGAAATTTATTTAATATTTCAAGAATATTTTTAAGATAAATTTCAGTAAATGATTAAAGTTAAACTTTGGGAATGGATCATTAATAGGTAGTCCAAATTTGGATAATTGGTTATTGAGCAAATAGTTTACATTAGGCAACTAGCTTCTTTTTAGTCCTCTGTGTATCAAGCTCCACCTGCCTGTTAGTGAAAGAGGCTTCTGAATGCCTTTGCTATTGAAAAGGGGGAATGATCACCCAGATGGTTTGACTGGGACTCAGTCAAGTGTTCAGACAAGTCTGCGCCCAGTGGTTTCCCATCCTGATGTTATGAACTGACTTGTTGTAGTCTGATCATGCACAAGTCTTTGGTTCCTTTTAATAGAAAATAATAGTTGGAAAGTGTTGGTGTCTTTTAGCCAAAGACCATGAAGAACATAGTTGAACAAATATAGGTTTCTTGTTGTGGTAGGCAGATAGCCCTGAAGATACCTGCTCCCTGGTGAACATGCTTTGTATAATTTTCTCACCTTGAGTCTAAATTGAATCTGAGTGGGACCTGTGAATACATTGGAATATCATTCCCATGATTACGTTACTACAATCAAAAGTAGATTAAATAGAGTGGGCCTGACCTAATCAGGTGAGCTCTTAAAAGAAGATGAAATCTCACAGAGATCATCTTGGCAGCTTGGAAGAAAGCAAACAGCAAGTTGTTAATTGCCTATGGAGGGGGCTTATGGGGCTAAGACGTGAGGGTGGCCTTTAGGAGCAGAAAGCAACCTCTGGCCAACAGCCAGTAAGAAGATAGGACCTCGGTCTTTGCATTAGTCCATTTGCATGCTGCTAATAAAGACATACCTGAGACTGGGTAATTTACAAAGGAAAGAGGCTTAATTGACTCATAGTTCAGCATGGCTGGGGAGGCCTCAGGAAACTTACAATCATGGTGGAAGGGGAAGCAAACACATCCTTCTTCACAGGGAGGCAGCAAGGAGAAGAATGAGAACCGAGTGAAAGGGGAAGCCCCTTATAAAACCATCACTCCCATGATTCAGTTACCTCCCACCAGGTCCCTCCCACAACATGTGGGGATTATGGGAACTACAATTCAAGATGAGATTTGGGTGGGGACACAGCCAAACCTTATCAGTCCTATACCCACAAGGAACTGAATTCTGCCAACAACCTGAATTAGCTTGGAAGAGAACCCCAAGCTGCAGATGAGAACGTAGCCCTAGCTGACGTTTTGATTTTAGCCTTGTAAGAGTCTAGGGAGAGGATCCAGCTACCCAAGCCCAGCCTTTTGCCCCATGGAAAATTTGAAATAATAAATTTGTATTGTTTTTAAGCATCTAAATTTCGAATAATTTGTTATGTACTAACATATAATAGAACACTAATATGAATAGGTAATTGTAACAAGAGAGACAAAACAAAATGGAGAACCTTGGTCTATCTCAGTAAGGGAGTTATGGAAGGGGCTTTTTATAGAATTTAGGCTTGTGTTAGGGGAGAGTTCAAGGGAATATGATTTTGCTCTGGATTGGGTGCTGTCAGAAGCAAGGCTATTCTGTGATTGCATAGTTCCTAGATAATTATTTAGGAGGTGGGAGGAACAGAGTAGAGCCAAATCTAGAAGAGGTAAAGAAGCACCAGCCACTCTAGTAGTTGGTAGAAGGTGTTTGACCATATTCATGGTTTGGCTGGTGGTTTTATCCTTCTGCTGGGACATGATTCCAGAGTGGTCGTGTTTTACGTCTTGTTCTGTAACAATGAGAGAGGCTTTGCATATGTTCTAGAAGAGAACACCATGAGTTTGCTATTAGAGCCAGGCCAGCTGTATGCTGACAGCCATCAGGGGCTGCTCTAGTGTGGGGTGGGTGAGAGTCACATGCTTTTACATCCTTACTAACACATTTTAATTAAACCAAGTCTCAGGTACAGTTCTGCTAGGTGTACAAACATTTACTAACTAAATGCTTGTTAGCAAGTCATCACGAAAGGATTCTCATGACCTGTTCTATACCTGAGGAAGTTTGCTCCCAGGTGCTCAACTTAGCACTTTGCATCAAAGGTTCATTTGTGGTTAATATGGTTTGGATTTGTGTCCCTGCCCAAACTGCATGTCGAATTGTAATCCCCACTGCTGGAGGTGGGACCTGGTGGGAGGTGACTGGATCATGGGAACATCTTCTCATGAATGGTTTATCACCAGCCCCCTTGGTACTGTCTTTGTGACAGTGAGTGAGTTCTCATGAGATCTGGTCATTTAAACCTATATAGCACCTCCCCCCTCTCTCTCTTGCTGTTGTTCCTGCCATGTAAGATGTGCCTGCTCCCACTTCACCTTCCGCCATGATTGTGTTTCCTGAGGCTTCCCCAGCAGCCAAGTAGATGCCAGCATCATGCTTCCTGTACAGCCTGCAGAACAGTGAGCCAATTAAAACTTTTCTTTCCAAATTGCCCAGTCTCAGGTATGTATGTATGTATATACATATGTATTTATTTTATTTAGAGACAGAGTCTCTCTCTGTCACCCAGGCTAGAGCACAGTGGTGTGATCTCAGCTCACTGCAACCTCTGCCTCCCGGGTTTAAGCAATCCTCATGCCTCAGTATCCTGAGTAGCTGGGACTATAGGCATGTGCCACCATGCCCAGCTAATTTTTGGTCTTTTTAGTAGAGACAGGGTTTCACTATGTTGGCCAGGCTGGTCTTGAACACCTGGCCTCAAGTGATCCACCCACCTTGGCCTCCCAAAGTGTTGGGATTACAGGCATGAGCCACTGTGCTCAGCAAGGTATTTCCTTATAGCAATGTGAAAATGGACTAATACAGTGGTGAAGGCCAAAGTTCCTGTCACCCCGAGAGATGGCATTAGGCAACCAACACCTTTGAGAATTCACAGCTGAACATGGAACCACTTAGAGATTTCACTTAGGGCAATATATCTCCAATATAGTTTCAGTGTAATATTTCTAAAATAATATCCCTAATATTAAAGGATACGGGCCTCACTGAATTTCCATACCCTATTTATGCAAAGGTAGAAAGTGTCTCTAAAATATTGTTAGCCAATACATATATATCATCTAACTGCGATTTCACCAGTGGACAGCCTGCTCATCATATTCATCATGCAATTTAATAAAAACCCATGTTTAATGTCCAGTATGCTAATTTGCAAAGCATTTGTTTTTTGACTGAGATAGGATAGTAGAAGAATGTATAGATTTCTCTTGAAGAATGAGTGTCTAGATTAGAATTCACCTGACCACCCCCAAACTTTGCACACTTAAATATACTATGGTTTCTGAGCTAGAACTTGATCCAGTGGGCCTCATTCTTGATCTCTATTGGAGTCACTAGAAGAACTTTTAAAACAATCGATGCACCTGCAAACCAAGTACACTGAAATCTCTGACGGTGGAACCCAGGCATTGGTATTTTTTTTAAGCTCCCTAGGTGACTTCAGCATACAGCCCAGGTCAAGAACCACCAGCTTAATCCTATAACATAGTAACACCATATAGTCTGTGCTGAGGTGGTCTAAAGAAAATTATGGTTATCTTAGCACATGGCAGTCCATTAGAATTACCAGGGGAACATTAAAAAAAGATGCTTAGACCAATCCCAGACGAATTAAATCAGAATCTATGCCTGAGTACTTGTATCTTAAACATTTCCAAGTGATTCTGATATGCAACTGATGAAGGACCATTGTGATAGGCGATGCATTGACGGTTGCAGGCAACTGGGATGTAAGAGCATAGGAAGGAGAAGCTCCTGTGGCCCTTCCACCTTTGTGGCATGAGGTGCTCCTTCCCCCCCCACCCCCGAGGGTTGGCAGGGGCTGGTTCAGCTCCCTGGAGATTCTCAGTCCCCGGCCACCAGGGGTACCTGGCAATCTCCTAATGCTGACTCCCTTTCTTTCCCTGAACCTCCCAATCCCAGTTTACATCCCCTCATCTCAGACCTCCTTTAAAGCCATGAACCCAAGTCTGCTCCTTTCACCCCCATCTCAGCCTGCAGAAGTCCTCAGTGGGTCTCCTTGTGGGATGATGTGATGCTTAATTTCATGTGTCAACTTGACTGGGCTAAGGGATGGCCAGATAGCTGGGAAAAGGTTATTTTTGAGTGTGTCTATGAGGGTGTTTCCAGAAGAGATTAGCATTTGAATACATAGACAGAAGAAAGAAGATCGTCTTAATTAATGTGGGTGGGAATCATCTAGTTCCTTGAGGGCACAAATATAACAAAAAAGCAGAGGAAGGGCAATTTCTCCTTCTCTCTTCTTAAGCTAGGACGTCTGTCTTCTCCTGCCCTCGACATTGGAGTGCCTGGTTCTCAGACCTTTGAACTCCTAGCCACATGTAACAACAAAAATAATAAATAAACAAAAGTCCCCAATACAGTAAAACAACAAAAACACAAAAAGACCAGTTGCTTTCTCTTCTAAAACCACTTAAGTGTGGAACCTCTGTTCTTGGGGTTCTCCAACCTGGAAGGATAATTTTGAGGCAAAAATGCCACAAGATTCTGAACATTAGCTGGAAACTCTTCCAGTGTCCATGGCATTTTGGGTGGTCTGGGCATGGGCATTGTAGAACATTTTGCCTCCACCCAGGCACTGAATTCTGCTATCCATCCTCCTCCCACTCCTCTAGTCATCGTGGTAACCCCCAAATTATAACTCCCCCAATTCCAAACCTTTTTAATCCTCTGATAAATGTAGGGGTGATGGGATCAAACAAAGTTCCACAACTGAAGTGTTACTCCAAAAGTGTTTGGCTGCTGGTTTTTGATACCAGATTTTTCAAAATCTTCTGTTGATGCAAGGCAGAATGTTTTTCTGAATAGCTCATATTTCACCAATGAAACATTATTTCTAATATCCCTTATGCTAATTAACAAGCTCAATATGCAGCTTCACATAATGGCATTTAAAGCAAGCACTTGTCTGAGTGCCTGTGGCAGGCGCTGGAGTTGGAGTAGGGGCTCCTGATTAGGGTCTTTCAAATGCTAACCAGCCACCTCTAGAATGTGGATTCCTGATTAGGGTACTTCACATATTAATTAGATCTTTCTAGGGTATAGATTACTTTTAATTTACACCTCCTATATCTCACTATCTATGCTAAAGTATGTTCATGTAAATTACAGATAAGGTACTATACCTCTGAAGAGAAACCTCTTACATGGTGGGTATGGAAATTAGCACCCATTTTGAGAGTGATCCAGCAGTATGTGTAACAAAGCCCTAGAAAGTGCATTGTCTTTGACCTAGAAATCCAGTGGCTAGCTGTCCTGGTTTGCCAAAACTGGGGGAGTTTTCCAAGGCATGGGACTTTCAGTGCAAAAACCAGGATAGTTCATGCAAACTGAGACAATCGGTCACTCTACCAGTGACTCTGTCTCTAAAAATCTATCCTAAGTTAGGGCTGGGAAAGTTTACTTATAGGTGTTACTTCTGAAAGTACAAATTTGAATGCAATTTATAGAATTAGCAATGAGGATATTCCCACACTGCTATAAAGTAATACCTGAGACTGGGCAATTTATAAAGAAAAGAGGTTTAATTGGCTCACAGTTCTGTAGGCTGTATGGGAAGCATGATGCTGGCATCTACTTGGCATCTAGGGAGGCCTTAGGAAGCTTACAATCACGGCAGAAGACGAAGAAGGAGCCAGCACTTCACATGGCTGGAACAGGAGGAAAAGAAAGCAGAGCGAAGTGCTACATACTTTTAAACAACCAGATCTCACGAGAGCTCATTATCATGAGAACAGCGCCAAGGGGATAGTGCTAAACAATTAATGAGAAACCACCCCCATGGTCCAATTACCTTCCACCAGGCCTCACCTCCAACATTGGGGATTACAATTCAATACGAGGTTTGGGTAGGGACACAGATGCAAGCCCTATCAAGGGAATTTGTTGAATAAATTTTGGCGTATCCATCCAATGGAGTATTATAGTCCTGAAAAACTATTAGTCTGCTTAGGCTTACATAATAAAGTACCACAGACTGGGTGGCTTAAACAACAGAGATTTATCTTCTCTTAGTTCTGGAGGCTGGAAGTCCCAGATCAATGCATGGCAACGTTGACATCTAGTGAGAGCTCTCTTCCTGGGTGGCAGATGGCCATCTCCTTGCTATACCCTCACATGGCAGAAAAAGTGAGTGAGCTGTCTGGTGTCTCTTCTTATAAAGACATGAATTCTTTGGAATCAGAGCCCCTCCTGTATGAACTCATTTAACCTTAATTACTTCCTTTCTCCAAATACAGTCACATCGTGGGTTAGAGATTCAACATATGAAATTTGTGGGGGATGCAATTCAGTTCATAGCATCAATTTTGACAATTTATAAAAAGGAAAGATGTTCAGAGCATATTGTTAATGGAAGCCACAAAACAGTATGTATAGTATGATTCATATTTTGTCTAAAAAAGCAAATAATATGCGTTCATAGGAAGACTGAAAAGCTATACAGAACGTTAACAAAGGAAATTAAGGTAATTTTAAGTTTCTGTATACTTTCTGTAGTTTTCTGTATTCTTTTTTGTATTCCAAAATTTAGAAAACTTTAACATATAATAATTTTTAAACAGGAAAATTGTATTTTAAAAAGATAGTGTCTGGTTAGATCACTGCCCTACGAGGGTATGATACCTATAAGGAGAAAAATGGGTTCTAGATTTTTGGTAAATGAGAAAGAACAAATGAAGAGAGAGTCTATAGAATTTGTGTAAACCTGAGTTGAATATTCGCTTTATAATTTGGCAAATTGAGCCTTACTCTTTATGAGGTTAGTGGTTAAACATGTAGTATCTAGAAATGACAGTCATGGTTTGAATCTCAACCTGGCTGCTTGCTGGCTGGCTGTCCTCGGGCAAGTTTCTCTGGCTCAGTTGGTCTGCAAGATAGGAAGAACAGGAATGCCTATTCCACCGGCTTGTTGTAAGGTTAGGGTGAATTATTACATAAAAGACCTTAGAACAGTGCCTAGCACATAAAAGGGTACTCAATAAATTAGCAGTTGTTGTTATTGTTATTATTATCTTTCTTCTAAGACTGCTTGGCTTTTTGCATTATGGCTTTGAACAACATGCCCCCTGATCTCTGGGAGCAGCTTCTTAATTGTTTTTAGGGTTGCTAAATTTAGGAAATGAAAATACAAGACACTCAAGTAAATCAGTATGTCCCAAATGCTGCTGAAGGCGTACTTATACTAACAGATTATTCATTATTTATCTGAAATTCAAATTTAATTGGGTGTCCTGTATTTTATCTGGCAATCTCTATTATTATAGATATGACGACATTGAAAAGGAACCCAGCAATGAAGCTTTCTTAATCAGATCCATCTAAGCCAAGCCTGATCCTGCTGTACTTCTGGTGCTGGTGTTACCTTTATAGTAAGAAATATGTGAAATAAATTCTAGGTAGATCCTAGCTTGGCACCTGGCATGTGATGTTTGTACGAAAATCAGGCAAGAGAGCCTGTCCTTTACTAGCCATGTGACTTTGGGAAAAATTGCATGATCTCTTTAAGCTTCAATGTCCTCGTTTGCAAAATGGGGCTAATAATAAGACCTGCTTTGTTGTGAGAATTGAATAAAATGAGCTAATACATTTAGTAGGGCATAATGTAAAATGTTTGGCATATGGATTAGGTATTCAGCTAGTAATGGCTATCATCACTACTCATTCAAAAACAAACAATACGTGAATAAAATAGATGTTAGAGTCTTTAACCTTTTTGTCTTTTTCAGGGTTTGTAAGGCACAAAATGAGGAGGCCACTATGCCTTCCCTCAAGAGGTTCACATTGGCAAGTACCAGAGAGCAAAAGACAATGTTCTATTAGATTCTTTCTACTGATGCCGGAGAATCCAATCTGCAAGACAGAAGACCTTAGAAATGTCCAGCAAAGCATATGGAGAATCCTTGAGCCAAAGTCACCCATCCAAGGAGCTCATGTCTCTCTGCCATGCATAGTCACTGGCTGGAATCAGTCTGTGAGAAGCATGGCTGTGGTGCAGTAAATGTGAGCATGGATTTCAGACTGCAGTAGCAAGACTGTTGTCAACCCCAGTCCTTGCAGTGCAGAAGTGAGAGGTGCATTGTCATGGCTGCCACAGCCCTATATCCTCATGACTTTTCTTACCTGGAGAAATGGTAAAAAACAGGGAAATGGTCTCCACTTCCCACATTCAGATCTGGCATGAGTGCATTTAATTTGCATGGCAAACTCTAGCCACAAGTAAGCCAAGAAATTGTAATTCCCCTTTCCAGCTCCCACTAACACCCGCCCTCTGCCCCCTGCCCCGCCCCCCAACACACACACGATGGGAAGGCACACGAGAAGCGGAAATGAATACTAGGTGAGTTGGGTGCTGCTTGATCTCAAAGTATCATGAAGGTGAAAGTGTTGTAGCTGTCTGATGAGCTGGGGCCAATAATTGATTTCTGAGAGAACCAACATCACTCCCAGGATCAAAAGTGAGTTATCTAACCCCTGTTCTCTGGGACTCAGCCTTATCCTTCTTGCCTCTAGGCTTTGTGTTTGAGACCCAGCCTTGATTCTTCTCTTTCTCTGGCTTTCACCTTCTTTCTCCCTAGGGGCCAGTCTCCTTCCTGACCTCATTCTAGGGTTCATGACTTGGCTATTGGTTGTCAGACTTCTCAGGGCTGCCAGCCTGAGTTACTAAGCATTGCTTCTCCCTGATCCGTGTCTTTGTGCCCTACTGGCAAACAATTTTCCTCTGCTCTTTGAAGTCTGCCGTTTCCCTATCAGACTGCACTTTTGCTTATCACCTGGAGCTTATCTGCTCTGGCCTCCCCTGACATCCCTTGTGAGCCTGATTCAATTTGTCACCCCCACAGTTTTCCCAATCTTGCTATGGTTAAGAGCTGCAAAAGGGGTGGGGGAGGGGGAGAGTCTTTATAGACCAAACCCAGGCTGTGGGAATTTCAAGCCATGAAGCATGAGCCCAGCTGTAGCCAGAGTACTCCTGGGTACTGGGAGCAATAGTAGCATCTCAGCTCCAGGTTCACACTGTCACCCAATCACTTTGCATATTAAACTGCTACTGAACTCTTAAGGACCAGCAGACACACCATTTGTTAAAATCACAATGCATCCCTTCTGCTGCCAAAGATGGAACTGTAATTTTCCCCTGCTCTCAAAATAAATACTTTGATGGTTCTGAAAAATTTTAGCAATTAGCTTGTACCATCACCTCTAATTAGCCACTGGCAAACACAATTGAGATAATAAAGCTTACCGAGGGAAAAGCATGAATAAGCACCAGATTCTAAATCTACTGGGGAAGTGACCCTGGTGAATCATTTAGTAGTCACTGTAATGTAATTTTGCAGGTTTGTTGTACACACACCACAGAGAACATATTAAGTGGGTCTGAGCCATAAGAGAGTCTTAATGATTAATTTGCCATATGCTCCTGAAAATCTCATTTTTTTTGAGAAACAATACACATCTACTCTTTTTCTTATTAATAAAACTACCAAGAAAATAAAACAACTTTTCTTTCCATCCTACTAATGACTCCCTCTAACTTGCATAGATATCCAGGGATTGGTCTTTTTAAAAAAATTATATCTAAATTCCCGCAGAAGCTAGTAGAACACAGCAATTTACTCTCCTATTATGTGTTTGACTTCAATTGTTGGCAACTGCTTTTTAATAATTTTTATTGACTGTTCCACAGTGACATCATGGGGAAGATAATTATTATTCTTTTTTATTTACAGAAAAAACACCACTTTGGGGTAAAGTGGCACGCCTGAGATTCCAGCACGAGGAAGTCTAGATGACAACCCAGCCTTCAGATTCCCAGTATGTCTCACATGGAAAAAGCAAAACTAAAATCCACCACTTTGAATGGCAAAAAGCGACCATGAGTAGAGAGTCCCGTATCACAGCAAGACCTTCACCTCTGTGAAACTCAGTTTCTAGGTTTGTAAAATGGGCTTGTCATGGGATATTGTTGTAAGAATTCAACAAAATTGTGGATATAGAAGGGCTTTTGGGGTTGTACATACCTAAGGGATTTCAGTGTCAGTGGAGGGCATGGCTAGCTTTTTCTCATCCTCTTCTTCTACAAGATGGATGTCTGGCCTGTCTCTGGCAGGTCGTCTTGGGGGATTGGGTCTTCCTCCAGGTGGGTCATTACCTGTGGGTGTCTGTTGCTGGAGACATAGCTGGTTCCAGTGAGGATCCAGCTGCCCTTCTCCATGTGGCTGAGATACCACAGTACAGCAAAGGCATATTAGATCCCACTGAAAATTCAAGCAGGTCTTTACTATGGGGGCTCTGATAGTTCCTTCAATGTCTTACAGAGCAGGGGGCAGAGCTAGGTGGGTTTGGGGAACAGGTCTCAGCCTAGGTTATATTGCTCCTTCCTATCACAAAAGGGACAAGTCCTTGCTGCTTGTGGTGGGGTTGGTGAGCATGGGGGTGTGCTCACATAAGGCTGTCCAAGTCTGGTGGACTTCTACATCCACTCCGTCCCTCCCTCTGCTTCTAGAAACTCCCTTTAACTCACTACCTGCTGTTCCCCTTGTTTCCTTCCTTGTGTCACCGCTGCTTTTTATCAGTCCCTTCTCCATCTCTTTTAGTATCTGGCAAATTTTGCATGGTCCTAACAACTTTAGCAGGTACTTTATACCATCACCTCTAATTGGGCACCGGCAAACACAGTTGAGGTCATGAATGTCGATGGTGAGAGTCTCTCCTAGCCTATACATTGTCTTTATGCAAATCAGAAAAAGGAACCCCCTTTGAGTGGGCACACTGCATGGGAAGTGAGCAGCATCTTTGTGGGAAGAAAAAAATTGCTTATTTTTTTCCAGTGTATGCAGTGCTGACCAGACATATGGTTTGACCTGCTGAGAGAAAGCTGGATTTAAGTATCCCTTCCTAATTACCCCTTAGCCAAGGGATTAAGCAGTACAGACAACCATATGTGGAGAAAAGCTATCAATGGCTTTTCTGCTCATGTACAGCTGGGACGAAGGGAAGGTGGGCTCTATGTCAGGGTAGGGGTTTCTCTTTGCTCCTTGCAACACAGAAGAAAAGAAAATTGACTCAGATTATTTTAATGGATGTGTAGTGAATTAAATTGTAGCTTCCAAAAGATATGCCTAAGTTCTAACCCTCAGAACCTGTGAACATGGCCTTATTTGGAAAAAGGGCCTTTGTAGATGTGATTAACTAAAGGATCTTGAGATGAGATCATCTTGGATGACCTCAGTGGGTCCTAAATCCAGTGATAAATATTTATTTTTAATTGTCAGCCAATAATTATATATATTTATGGGGTATGTATATATTATGGGGTACAGAGTGATTTATTGATATACATATATAATGTATAATTATCAAATTATGAAAATTAGCATATTCTTCACCTGAAACATTTATTATTTCTGTGTGTTGGGAACATTCAAAATCCTCTTCTCTATTTGAAAGTATACATTATAAACTGTAGTCACCCTACAGTGCTATAGAACACTAGAACTTATTCCTCCTATCTAGCTATAATATTGTATCCATTAACCAACCTCTCACTAGACCCCCTCCCAATTTTCTCTCCCCACTACCCTTCCCAGCCTCTAATAACTATGATCTACTCTCTACTTCTATGAGCTCAACCCTTCTTAGCTCCCACATATAAGTGAGATCATGCTATAATTGTCTTTCTATGCCTGGCTTACTTAACACAATAACCTCTGGTTCCATCCAGGTTGCTGCAAATGACATGAACTCATTCTTTTTAATGGCCAAATAATATTCCGTTGTGTATATATATATATCACATTTTCTTTCTCCATTCATTTGTCGATAGTCACTTAGATCGATTCCATATTGTGGCCATTGTGAATAGTACTGCAATAAACATGGGAGTGCAGGTTTCTTTTCCTTTAGATAAATATCCAACAGTGGGGTTGCTGGATCATTTGAAAGTTCTTAGTTTTTTGAGGAACCACCATACTGTTTTCCATAATGGCTGTTCTAATTTACATTCCAATCAACAGTGTATAAGAATTCCCTTTTCTCTATATCCTCAGCAGCATTGGTTATTTTTTTTATCTCTTTTTTTGAGATGGGGTCTCACTATGTTGCCCAGGCTGGTCTCGAATTCCTGGACTCATGTAATTCTCCTGCCTCAGCCTCCCAAGTGTCTGAGACTCCAGGCATAAGCCACCACACTCATCTTATTTTTAATCTTTTTGATAATAACAATTCTAACCAGGGTGAGATGATATCTCATTTTAGTTTTGATTTGCATTTCCCTGATGATTACTGATGCTGAATGTTTTTTCATATACTTGGCCATTTTTATGTCTTCTTTTGAGAAATGTCTATTCAGACCATTTCCTCATTTTAAAATTGTATTATTTGTTTTGTTGTCATTGAGATGTTTAAGTTCCTTGTATATTCTTGGATACTAATCTCTTGTTGGATAGATATTGCAAATATTATCTCCCATTCTACAGCTTGTCTCCTCACTGTTGTTTCCTTTGCTATGCAAAAGCTTTTTAGTTTGGTATAATCACATTGGTCTATTTTTGCTTTCATTTCTTGTGCTTTTGGAATCTTACTCATAAAATCTTTGCCCAGAACAATGTACTAAAGCATATCCTTTGTTTTCTTTCAGTAGTTTTATAGTTTTGGGTCTTACATTTCTGGCTTTAACCCATTTTGAGTTAATTTTTATATATGATAAGAGAGAGCAGTCTAATTTCATTCTTTTGCATATGGATAATTTTCCTAGCACCATTTATTAAAGAAGCTGTCCTTTCCCCAATGTATGTTCTCAGCACCTTGGTTGAAAATCAGTTGGTTATAAATACATGGGTTCACTTCTGGGGTCTCTATTTTGTTCCATTGGTCTATGTGTCTGTTTTTATGCCAGGTGCATGTTGTTTTTGTAGTATAGCTTTGTAGTATATATTGAAGTCATATGGTATGATGCCTCCAGCTTTGCTCTCTTTGCATAGGATTGCTTTGGCTATTTGGACTCTTTTGTGGTTCCATATGAATTTTAGGATCATTGTTTCAATTACTGTGAAGAATACTGTGGTATTTTAATGGGGATTGCATAAAACCTATAGATATCTTTGTATAGTATGGTTATTGTAATAATATTAATTCTTGCAATTCATGAACATGAGATTTTTTTTTCACTTTTTTTGTATCCTCCTCAATCTCCTTCATCAGTGTTTGTAGTTTTCATTGTTGAGAACTTTCACTTTCTTGCTTAATTTCTAGATATTATTTTTTGGTAGCTACTAAAAATGAAATTACTTTTTGATTTTTTTAAGATAGTTTGTTATTGGTATATAGAAATGCTACTAATTTTTGCATTAATTTTGTATCCTGGGCTGGGCGTGGTGGCTCATGCCTGTAATCCCAACACTTTGGGAGGCCAAGGTGGGCAGATCACGAGGTCAGGAGTTCGAGACCATCCTGGCTAACATGGCGAAACCCTGTCTCTACTAAAAATACAAAAAATTAGCCAGGCTTGGTGGCAGGCACCTGTAGTCCCAGCTACTCAGGAGGCTGAGGCAGGAGAATGGTGTGAACCCGAGAGGCAGAGCTTGCAGTGAGCTGAGATTGAGCCACTGCACTCCAGCCTGGGCTACAAAGCGAGATTCCGTCTCAAAAAAAAAAAAAAAAAAATTGTATCCTGCAACTTTATGGAATTGGTAAGTTCTAAGAGATTTTTGGTGGAGTCTTTAGGTTTTTCTGCCTATGAAGTCACATAATCTGCAAACAGGGACAATGTGACCTCCTCTTTTCCAATTTGAATGTGCTTTATTTCTTTCACTTGGCTGACTCTGGCTAGGACTTCGAGTACTATGTTGAATAAGAGTAGTGAAAGTGGGCTTGTTTTTTTTAACTGTTCTATTTCTTAAAAGAGAAAAACTTTCAACTTTCTCCCATTCAGAATGATGTTTGATGTGGGTTTGTCATATATAGCCTTTATTATGTTGAGGTATGTTTCTTCTATGTCTAATTTGTTGGCTCTTTTTATTATGAAGGGATGTGGGATTTTATCAGGTGAATTTTCTGCATTTATTGAGATGATCATATGGTTTTTGTCTTTCATTCTATAGATGCAATGTATCACATTTATTGATTTGTGTATGTTGAAACATCCTTGTATCCCTGATTTGAATCTCACTGGATTCAATTTAAGTGTTTGTTCTTCATAGTCTTTAATGATTCTTTGTATTTCTGTAGTATCAATTGTAAAGTCTCCTTTATTTTTTTAAATTTTATTTATCTGGAACATCTCTTTTTCCTAGGCCATCTAGCTAATGGTTTGTTGATTTTGTTTATCTTTTCAAAAAACCAACTTTTCACTTGTTTACCTTTTGTATTTTTTGTCTCTGTTTTGTTTAGTTCTGCATTAGGTTATTTATTTGAAATCTTTCTACTTTTCTGCTGCAGGCATTTATTGCTATAAACCTAGTGCTGCTTTTACTGTATCTTATTGGTTTTGATATGTTGTGTTCCTATTTTTATTTGTTTCAAACATTTGTTGGATTCCTTCTTAATTTTTTCATTGACCCATTGGTTGTTCAGGAGCATGTTGTTTAATTTCCATGTATTTATACAGTTTTCAAAGTTCCTCTGGTTATTGATTTCTATTTATTCCATCGTGATCTGAAAAAATATTTGATGGGATTTCAGTTTTTAAAAATGTGTCGAGATTTGTTTTGTAGTTCAACATATGGTCTATCCTAAAGAATGTTTCATATGCTGATGAGAAAAATGTGTATTCTGCAACTATTGGATAAAATGTCCTGTAAATGTTTGTTAGGTCCAGTTGGTCTACAGCGCAGTTTAAGTTCAATGTTCCTTTGATGATATTCTGCACAGATGGTCTGTCCAATGCTGACAGGGTGCATTGAAGTTTCCAATTCTTGTTGTATAGTGGTTTATCTCTCCCTTTAGCTCTAATAATACTTGCTTTATATATCTAGGTGCCCTAGTATTGGGTACGTATATATTTAGAGTTGTCACATTCTCTTGCTGAATTGATCTCTTTATCATTATATAATGACCTTCTTTGTTTCCTTATGTGTTTTTTCAGGCTTAAAGTCTATTTTAACTAATGTAAATATAGCCTCTTTTGCTCACTTTTCATTTATGTTGCTTGGAATATCTTTTTCCATCCCTTCACCTTCAGCCCATGATTGTCTTTACAGCTGAAGTGAGTTTCTTGTAGGCAGCACATAGTTCGGTCTTGTTTTTTTTGTTTGTTTCTTTCTTTTTTAAAAAAAAATTTATTCAGCCAATGTACAAATGTATAAATACATATCTTTTTTTTCTTGACCATAAGGGTGGGCTTGAATATATCTTTTAATTGAGGAATTTAAACCATTGACATTCAAAGTTATTATTTATAGGTGAGGACTTATTCTTGTCCTTTTGTTGTTTTCTGGTTGTTTTGTATACTCTTTGTTCTTTTTTTCTAATTTTATTGTTTATTTCTGCCATGTTTTAGTGTCATTTCTGCCATGCCAGGTTTTCTGTAGCAGTATCATTTGATTTCATTCTCTTTATCATTTGTTTATCTGTTCCACCAGTGGATTTTATAGTTTTTTGTGTTTTCATTTTTATCCCAACCTCTTGACCACCTGGGAGTCATATGTTTTCATGATTGTAGCTATTGCTCTTTCACTTCCAGATGCACGACTCTCTTACACATGTTTTTTCCTTCAGACATGGTCTCACTCTGTTACCCAGTCTGGAGTGCAGAGGCATGATCATGGCTCACTGCAGCCTTAACCGCCTGGGCTCAAATGATCCTCCCACTTCAGTCTCATGAGTAGCTGGGACCACAGGTACACACCATCATGGCTAACTAATTTTTTTTTTTAAGAGATGGGGATCTCATTTTGTTGCCCAAACTGGCCTCAAACCCCTGGGCTCAGGCAATACTGTTGCTTTGGACTCCCAAAGTGCTAAGATTACAGGCATGATTCACCATGCCTAGCTTTTACACATTTCTTGCATGACAAGACTAATGGTGATCAATTCCCTCAGTTTTGCTTGTTTTTCTGAAAGACTTTATTTCTCCTTTATTTATGAAGTATACTTTTGCTGCATATAGTATTCTGGGCTGATAGGATTTTTTTTTTCTTTTTTTTAATCTACCACTTTGAACACATCATCTCATTCTTTTTTGACCTGTAAGGTTTCTGCTGAGAAACTTACTGTTAGTCTGATGGGGGCTGCCCTATATGTGACTTGATACTTTTCTATTGCTGTTTTTAGCATTCTCTCTGTTTTTAACTTTTGACAGTTTGGCTGTGATGTGCCTTGAGGGGATCTTTTTGGGTTGAATCTATTTAGGAACCTTTTGAGCTCACTGTATCTGCATCTCCTGATATTTCCCAAGACTTGGGAAGTTTTCAGGTATTATTTTATTAAATAGGTTTTCTCTGTGTTTTCTTGTGTCTTCTTGAAATCTCATAATTTGTTTTTTCTGTGTTTTTCTTTTTCTTTTCTTTTCTTTTTTTTTTTTTTTTTTGCTTAATATGATACTATATGTCCTATAGACTTTCTTCATTCTTTTTATTCTTTATTTTTTTTCTGGTCATGTTATTTCAAAAGAACTGTTTTCAAGTTCAGAAATTTTAACAACTTTTGCTTGATCCAGTCTATTGTTAAAGCTGACAGTTATATTTTTAATTTTATTCATTAAGTTCTTCAGTTCCAAGCTTTTGTTTGGCTCATTTTTAAATGATATTTATCTCTATTGGATTTAAAATTTAGATCATGAGTTGTTCTTCTGATTTTGTTGAATTGTCTATCTGTGTTCTCTTATATCTCACTGAGTTTCCTTAAGGTCATTATTTTGAATTCCTTTCTAGGCATTCATTGGTTTCCTTTTCTTTGTGGTCTGTTACTAGAGAATTATTGTGTTTCTTTAGAGATGTCATGTTTCCTTGGTTTTTCATGTTTTCTGTTTTCTGTTAATATCTGACATTTGGTGGAACATTTGGTTCTTCCAGTATTATGGAGTAGCTTTTGCAGGGTAAGACCTTTTTCTGTAGATGTGTCCTATAGTATTGATTGTGTAGGGTGCTTTGACTTTGATTCTGGATGGGTGTAGTAGTATAGTCTCTGTATAATTTCTTTGGCTATAATCAATGTCAGCAGTGTCTGCAAGTGCCTCAGCAGCCTAGGCTGTGGTTGTTTGTGGAAGCTTTGTTATGGCTTTGGTGGGTTTGGGAACACCAGGGAGGCCAGTCCTTGAGCCCTTGGGGGCATGCACATGCACATGGTGGTTTCCCTGTTAAAGAGGGCATGGTTACCAGTAGCAGCAGGCCCTGGGCAGGCCAGTTCTTGGGCTCCTGGGGGTTATACATGGGTGCTTGGCAGCTTTGATGCTGGAGAGAGCAGGGTTGGTGGCAATGGGCCTTGGGTAAATGGCTCTCAGGCTCTGGAGAGTGCATACATCAGCTCCCTCTCTCCTGAGGGCAGCCTCCTTAACTGTGCTGGACTGCCTGTTCCCCAAGAGGTAGGGTACTGTGTGGGATCTGGTGCCAGGAATATGGCTGTACTGATCATTTCAGCTGGTCTTTTGACTCTGCAGCCCTCTGGGTAAATGTGGTGGGATATCAGTGGAGCTCCAGGGATGGAGAAATGCAGAGACTATTGATCCTCAGGGCAGGATGCACTGTGGTGATGGCTCTGCTCTCAAAATTACGTTGTGCTGCAGCAGCCTGGGTTCTGGGGAGTCGGGGGTGATTCTGTGTGAATTTGGTCTCTGGAATAATGCAGTCTTGTGGATTCCAGGCCTCTCCTTACACTGGGCTTAAGGCCTGTGAAGGTCGGGGAGCGGGGGCTCTCGTGTAACTAAGATAGCAGACATGTGAAGTGAGAATGTGGACTGCTGGAGATTTCCTGCTTACCTTTCCCCCACACTGGGGAGTCCCTTTTGGCTCTGAGCTGATCTTGGATGGGTGCTGTACTTCCCTCTTCATGTTGCTGTCCTGAGTTTCTATCTCAAAAGGTATTTGTCACTTCCTTGCTGAATTCTGGTGTTCTTCTTTAGACATTTTATTTGACATGTGGTTATCTATTTGTATTTTCATCCTTCCTTGTGGAGGAAGTGAGTGCAGAGCACCTCAAGTAAGCAATCTTGATGACATCTCTCTGTATTTGATTTTTCAACTTTAAGTGTGAAAGTGATATGCATTCAGTATGCTCCTCAACTTACAATGAGTTTATGACAGATGCCTTTATAAGAGTCAGGCAGAGGGAGATTAGACAAACTGAAGAGGACACATAAGGAAACATGGGGAAGAAGGTTGTGCAAAGATGGGGGCAGAAATTGAAGCTGATGCAGCTACAAGTCAAGGAATGCCAAGTGATGTCAGTAGCCACCAGAAGCTGGAAAGGCAAGGAACAGAATCTCCCTGGAGCCTCCAGAGGGAGTAAAGTTCTGCGGACACCTTGATTTTAGACTTCTGCCCTCCAGAACTGTGAGAGAATAAATTTCTGTTATTTTAAGCCACGTTGATTGTGGTAATTTATTACAGCAGCCCTAGGAAAATTATCTACACATGGGGACCAAAGAGAGACTCAACAGGGTTTTTTTCTTTTTGAGCTGTAACTAGTTCTTTCCTGCAGCATATAAAATCAAGCACATTTTATCCTGTGTAGATATCTTCCCTTCCTTCTGGCCCCAAACTGTACTTAACTTTACAAGAGAAATTTTTTATCCTTTTAACAAAACTATCTTGAAAACTCACATTTCTTTTATTATAGAAAAAAAAAAACAGAATAAGCATAACTTCTGCCCTTCTCAATTTGATACAAGAAATTAATATTTCTCCTATTAACATACACTTATGAACATGCACCACAGCCTTATTTTGCTAAGAGAGCATTTTTTCATACCTGGCCTAAGTTATATTCAAACCATTTTCCTTTAACTTGCCCTTGGCAGTGAAGGAGAGGAATCTCAACCTACTCTTCTATAGGTTTTAGGAGCTTATAAACCATTATTTCTCTCCACCAGGCTGTGGGCTGCACAAGAGCCTGCTCTGTGCACTGTTAATCTTGATATCATCCAATATAGCACGTGGCATGTAGCAGATGCTCAGGAAGTGTTTCCTAATCAGGGTGACCAAATGTCCTGGTTTTCCCAGGACAGAAAGGTTTCTCAGGATGTTAGGCTCTCAGGGTTCAACTGGAACAGACTTGGGCAAACCTGACAGTTGGTAACCCCTGTTAAATGAACTGGACCCCACTGCTCTTGGTGACATCCAGGCTTAATACCAAGTTGGGAAAGTTGCCTAATATAAAGTTATGTGGTCTTTGTCCCTACTCTGCCTTCTTTCTGGGTCTCTGAGCTTCCCAGAGTTCTTCCTTCCCTGGGACTCACCTCGTTGGGCTAACATTGTTACTTGGGTGCTAATTCCGCCTAGGTCCCAGTGGCTCTCTGCTTAATGCTCCCCATGTATAATTCCATTTCTCCTGTCACTTGACTATTTTTTTCTCTGAATTATTTACTAGCTGGTTTTTCTCCTCCTGCTTCAGAAATGTTGAAGTTCTCCAGCATTCTGTCCTGATCACTTCCAAATAGCTCAGGGATGACCTCAGGACCTGAGCTTAAAAAAACCTACAGCAAAGCACCTTGGATGTTATTACTGACTCCTTTTCCATGCCCACCATTTGATTTATCCACTGATTCCCTCGTATTGAATAAATATTAAATCAATTCCCTTCTCCCCATCCTCATGGTTGTGGCCATACGCCAGGACCTTATTATTTATTGCCTTTTACTGAGATTTCCCATTTACATTCTTAACCTTTCCAATTTACCCTTTTCATTGCTTCAGAGTGATTATTCTAACATGCAAATATGACTACAATATTCCCTTGCTTAAACTATGCCAATGGCTCCCTGTGGTCCACAGAAAAAATTCTTAGACAGGCACATGAGATGCTTCCTGACCTGCCCTTGCCTAACAGTTTGGCTTCACACATCACCACTTGTCCATCTCAGACCCCACATTCTTGCCTCAATGCACTCATCCTGCTCCCTCTACAACCAGACCCTTGGACCTACATGTCCCTCCCTCTGTCTCTGTTGCCTTTCTGACCTCCTTGCCTTGGCTACCTCCTGCCAGGCCTTCAGAATTCAGCTCAGTGGTTGCTTCCATGACCCTGTTAATTTGGGGTGAGATGCTTCATCTGCTCTGTACCAGCAACGTGTGTTTACTGCTCTCAGAATAGGCACCAACCTGCTTGTCTCCCTCTCTGGGGGCTGAGCAACCTAAGTGCAGAAAAATGCTTATTCACCTTTACCTTCTTTCTTCACAGCACTTGGCGTAATGTAGGTGCCCGTACTGGGTTGAATAATGTCGCCCCAAACTTATGTCTATGCATAACCTCAGAATGTGACCTTATTTGAAAATAGGGTTTCGAAGATATAATTAGTTAAGATCATATTGAATTAGAACAGGCCCTAAATCCAATATGACTGATGTCCTTATTAGAAGACGAAAGGATGCAGAGGTGCAGACATACACAGGGAGAAAGCCATGTGATGTGATGGCAGAGAGGGAGATTAATGAGTCAAGGAACACGAAGGATTGCTGCACCCACCAGAAACCAGGAAGCCAGGAGAGAGGCAAGAAAGGATCCTTCCCTAGAGGTGTCAGAGGGAGCATGGCCCTTCTGACATCTTAATTTCAGACTTCTAGCCTCCAGAATAAGAAAATAAATTTCTGTTGTAAGCCACCGATTTTGTGGTACTTCATTTTGGTACTTTGTTATAGGAAACTAGTACAGTGCTCAACATATTTGGTTGACTCAGTGAATGATCCTACCCCTTTCCTACCTCTCCATAGCCATTGGGAAAGGCCTTTGTCAACTCTGGGCTAGAATGTTCTGGTAGCCTTCTGACTTGTCTCCCTGTGTTTATTAAATGGAACAGTGCCATAAGTTTATGACTCCAATGGATTCTGTGTTTGTTAGACTGATTATCAGCTAATTTTTTTCTCATGACTCAATGACAAGGTTAGCTGAATCGTGGTGCTGAAAAATGTCACCTCTGCCCTGAGTGAAGCTTTCATGCGAGGATCTACTGGGGCACCTAAAAGGACAATGATTCAGGATGTCATTGAGCTCACAGAGCAAGCCACATGCCTGTTTTTGCACCTGCTTTGCTAATAAATGAAAGTCTGTATCGCAGAATTCTATCTGACACCTGCTTTCATTACAACATGCAGAGACCTACGGCCCCAAGACCTCTTACATCTACATAGTGAATGACAAAATTGACTCAGGTCAGTTCTAACCAAGGAGGTCATGGAAAGAACTCCGGTTTCGGAACAAGACAAATTTGGGCTAAAATCCCAGCTCCACCACTGACTGCCTGAGTCACCTATGATGTTGCTTCACAGGGTGGTAACAATGATCTCTGCCCGCCTCCCCAGGTTATTGCTATAATTAAGTGAGATCAAGCATGTGAAAGGCTTCAGGTGCTGTAAATGCTTGCTGTTATTCAGTCAGTTGAACACAGTCACACAGCTAAGAGGGAAGGTGCTGTCCAGGGTCTCACCCTGGGGACGAGACTCCCCTGAAACAGAGGCAATGGCCTCTAATGAGGGAACTGAACATTAATTAGGAATCCAGGATATACGACTTTATGCATTTTCACATACATTTTTTTTTCCTTTTATTCCCATGAAAGCCTTTTACTTTAAAAAATTTTTATTCTCATTAAAAAATATAGGAAATGAGGCTCAAAGGCAGGGCACGGCTCCCTACAGCACTTGTGAGCAGTGATTCTCAACCTGGGCTGTGCATGAGGATCCCCTGGAGCTTTGAAAAATCCCCACACCCTGCCGCCTCTCTGACCAATGAAACCAGAACGTCTGATGCTGGGGCCCCGGCTTCAGAACTTCAAAAACCTCTTCAGGTGACTCCCAAATGCAGCCAAGTTTGAATATCTGTGCTCCAGAGTTCACAAATCACTTTCCCCCAGAGGAAGTGGTCTGACCGACCTTTACACCTCTATGAGGACAGCAGAGTAGATTTCATTGACCCCACTCTGATGATGGGAAAACCAAGCTCAGAGAAAATTCCAGAAAGGACTTGAACTAGAACCAGATTCCTTGATTCTTCTCCACTGCTCTATCCCTGTCCTGGGGGGAGGAGCTATGCCACATCACTGACCTCTATTTCCCTTTCAGTATCTGCACCGGAGCGAAGGCTGCCTTGGGTGTTTGGAACAGTTTACCTCTATCTAGCCATCATGGGGTTCTGATGACCCCATCCCCAGCCCCCATCACCTGGTCTCCCCCTGCCCTCCCCTGTAGTTCATGGGTTCTCCACAGCCCGGAGTAGAGGCCAGGGGGTTTTCCACACAGGCTTTTCAGATCCATTTCATTCCCGCCTGTTTTTCCATCTGCCTTGTCATAGGGTGTGTGGTGCAGGCTTGTCTCTGCCAAATGCTTTAGTGGCTCTGGAATGGAGAAAGCAGCAGAAGCCCAGAGTGTTTATGCCATGGGAAAAGCTGGGCTTTTCCACAGATCATCCTTCTCCCCCGCCCCCAGGTTCTCATGCCCTACATGATTCCCAGGGGGCCACCCAGCAATTAAGATACAGTTCTGGAGAGCAGAAGGCTCTGACAGCCCCACAAATCAGCCTCCATATCCCCACCCCCAACACACGCACATCCCAGTCCCTCCCAGAACAATGCTATCGAGTCATCTTGAGCAATGGCACCAGAAAATCCCAGTGTAATGAAAGAAAACAGAGGCCTGTCTTTCTGGCTGCTGGTGCGATTTCAATAGAAAGCCCTTCTTAAGCAGGAAGAAGCAATTCTTCTGCTATGTCCCTAACAAAAGCTGACCTCTTCCTTGGCGGCATTGGGTAGGCCCAGAATCAAGCTGGGGTTATTTCCCCACCATCGCCATAGTCATAGCAACAGCTTTGATTAATGCGGTGTCCCATTAGAGGGATAATGTCAGCCCTAATCAGAAACGCCTCAAGTATCTCTCTTTGCATTTTGGTAAATGGCGTAATCACATTACGGCTGGATGTGTCTGGGAGCTGATTGCTGTCGCACAAGTCTGCCTGATTTTCCAGGTTAAGGGGTGTCAGGGGGCCCGAGATGCAGCTAATTACTGTGCATTGTTAGGAGAGAGGACCAAGGCCACGGAGGCCGCCAGGAATGTTCCTGCCCTATCCTTCCTTCTAAGTCCATAGGAGCGCCCTGGGCTGATGGTCTGTTTGCAAGGATGCCTGCCTGAAGGAGATGGCTGAGAGTCAGAGAGGGGTGCTATATGCTGCTGTTAAGCATAAGGGAAGCAGAGGCATGGTTGAAAAGAACAGGCAGGTAGCTGAGCTGGGCTTGGCTGTTCCTGTCCCTTGTCCATCAAGCTCATGATGGACAGTCAGCCTCCGGTCATGCCACTGGGCTGGAAAACTGGCAGAAGGGGCCCCACTTGGGCCTGGAGATAGGAAACGGCAGGGGTGACATGCACTGCAAAGGCATGTAATGAGTGTGGACTTGACTTGTCATAATAGCATTTGGCTGTTGGCAGGTTCTGCTTTGTCTGTTGAAGCTTCCTACTTGAGGGTAGATTCTTACTGCACCCTGGGGAGACAGACTTCTCCTTCTCTCCCCTTTTACTAGCAGGGAAACCAAGGAAAGGAGAGGTGACATGTCTCATCCCTGTATTGATGCTAGGTTCCACTTCCCAAGAGACCCTTCCCACACGAAAAGCTTCCTCTCTTTGCCTTCCAGCCTAGCTGCTTTTGTTTCTGTAAATCCATAGGTGACAGTAACAATAAATCGTCACCACCTATACTGAAAGATTAAGAGGAGGACCTGAGGAAATATGCATTGAGCCCCCAGAGGCTATTTTTAGATGCTTCTGGGAGGTTTTAAAAAAGGACTCACACAGTTAACTATTTATGACTTTTTGAATGCAGGACAGAAATAGAAGGACAGCACTTAGCTTCTTCTCCAAAGCTGGGGAGTAAATTCCTCTCAGAGACCTGAAACCACTTTGGGGCCCTTAAATTTACTGTCTCTTGGATGGCATTTAATATCTAGCATAACTAATATCTAGTTTTTATTTCTGGCTACAGCAATAGTTGTTCTTTTCGGTGTTGAAAATTATCTCAAGAGTAGCTGAGGAAATTGAGTCACAGAGTGAGAATTATCTCAGAGTCACACGGCTGGTCTGTGGCCAAGCCCTGGTGGAAGCAAATCTCTTGCTATTTGGGCCAAAGTTCACTGCAGAGGGTTGAACTGAATGTCCCAGGGCAGGTTTGGGTGTGGAAAGTTCTTCAGGGGATACTCAATCCAACAAACGGACAAGACGCTATGGTATCATGAATCAACCAAGCTCCATCTGCCACCTTTCCTAGGAGGCTCCAGGCCAGCTTTCCACTTGGAAGAGTCAATATTCTCCCCAAGAAGATGTTGCATTAGACATGTGAGAGGACACAGGCTCACTGCCTACCCTGAAACCTCACACGCTTGTGTTGTATTATGAGCAGGACAGAATGCATTTCCAGGCCGGGTTGTACCTCAGGTCGGGGGGAAATTAGTAGGGTTTCCTCAACTGCTCTCCGAAGCTTTATGTCCTTCCCAGTAGCCAACAACTTGATCATCCCTTCCTTTAAACTTGGCCAATCAGGGACTTGGAAATCAAGGATGTAGAGCCTTAGCCCCAACAGCCAATAGCTTTAAGCTAAACAAACCCACAAGAGACTGGTATTTGCCTGAACAGAAAACCACAGAGGAATGAATTAACACCACGGTCAGAGTTTCCATCTGGGCCCTGCTGGTGCCCTCACCACAGAGGCTGCCTGTGCCGGCAGCCCCACTCCCTGCTGGCTCAGCCTAGCGCAAGTCCCTGGGCCAATCCCGACAGAAGCAGGGTGTACATGAACACTGTCTTCCTCAGCCAGGCTGTGGGGCTTCCCAAGCAGGGACTCAGCGGTCCAGCCTCTGCTACTGCCTCCTTCTGCCCCTCTGTCTATTTCTGGTGACTACCACACCCAGCACGTGGCATGCCAGGGGCCAGCCCCCCATAGCCAAGCAGCCTAATGGGCTGTATGGGTCTTCTTGATGCCAACTCCCACTGGACTCTCCAGTCTGGCAGTGCAGCCATTGTATACTTGGCTGGTCTGCACCAGCACCTTACACAGCAGCTAGCAAAACATAGCAATATTTAGTCCATATTGGGCCCATGAAAATGAAAAGGTGATATCCTATTCCTGTAGAGAGGAGTGATCACTTCCTTGATTTTGCTGATGCACATCCATCTCTGTTTCAAATTGAAAGTGCAAGTTCATTGCAAACCATCTCTGGCAGAATTGTCACTTCTGAACAATCAACCACATTTGGAATTTGGCTCCATCAGACACTGCTCCCTGTCTAGTACCAGGGACTATGGTTGATTCTGTTTCTGTTGACAGCTGTCTTCTCCAGTCCTAGCTCAACTCTTATCCCTAGTCCCACATACAGTGTTTTCATTACCACCTTGCACAGCACAGTCATGCATAGTTTTACCACAGGGACACGTTCTGAGAAATGTGTCATTATGTGATTTCATTGTTGTGCAAACTTCCTAGAGTGTACTTACACAAACCTAGACGATACAGCCTACTATACACCTAGGCTACATGGTTTAGCCTAGTGCTCCTAGGCTGCAAACCTGTATAGCATGTTACTGTACTGAACACTGTAGGTAACTGTAACACAATGGTAAGTATGTATGCATCTAACTTATCTAAGCATAGAAAAGGTATAGTAAAAATGTGGTATAAAAAATAAAAAATGGTATAGCTGTATAGGGAACTTACCACAAATAAAGTTTGCAGGACTGGAAGTTGCAACTCTGGGTGAGTCAGTGGTGAGTGAGTGTGAAAGCCTAGGATATTACCATACTTTTGTTGTTGTTGTTATTGAGACAGAGTCTCACTCTGTTGCCCAGGCTGCGGTGCAGTGGCACAATCTCGGCTCACTGCAATTTTTGCCCCCTCGGGTTCAAGCGATTCTTGTGCCTCAGCCTCCTGAGTAGCCGGGACTACAGGTGTACACCACCACTCCTGGAAAATTTTTGTATTTTTAGTAGAGATGGGGTTTCACCATGTTGGCCAGGCTGGTCTCGAACTTCTGGCCTCAAGGGATCCACCCACCTTGGCCTCCCAATGTGCTGGGATTATAGGCGTGAGCCAGGGCGCCCGGCTACTGTACATTTTTATATGACTGGCAGCACGGTAGATTTGTTTACAGCAACATCACCACAAACGTTTGTGTAATGACATTACAACAGCTATGCCATCACTAGATAGGATTTTTTCAGCTCCATTATCATCTTATGGGACCATTGTTGTATACGTAGTCCCTCACTGACTCAAATGTCCTTATGTGATGCATAACTGTAGTTGCATTTTAACTCATCTGTCTTCCCTATCAGACTGTGAGCTCCATGAAAGCAAAAACCTCTTCTGGTTTTCTCCTCATTGTATTCCCAGCACTTAGCACAGCGGCTAGCAAAACATAGCAACATTTAGTCCATATTTGATCCATGAAAATGAAAAGGTGATATCCTATTCCTATAGAGAGGAGTGATCACTTACTTGGTTTTGCTGATGCACGTCTATCTCTGTTCAAACTGAAAGAGCAAGTTCATTGCAAACCATCTCTGGCAGAACTGTCACTTCTGAGCAAGTGTATGTACAAAGACCTTTGCTCATTACAAAACAGGAGTCGTAATAGAAATTAGTCCCTTTGGTTTATTTTACAATTGTATTTAATTGCTCACCATTCTGCCAATTAATCAAGCCTTCAGTTGCCCTAAGTATGGAAATTTTTTAAAGAGGTGGATTAAAGGAGAAATTGCACTTGATGGGAGAAGATGAGGCCATGGCTCTGAAATATCTTTAAGTGAGTCACAAAGTATTTTTAAACCTTAGTTTCCTCATCTGGAAACTGAGATAGTTGAACTCAGTAATCACTACTTTTCTTTCCAGGTTTATGGTCCTATTAACTTATAATTTTGTTGCACTAATGCAAGTCTCCAAGCATGCTCTTTCTGTCTTGTGTTTTGGCCAAATCAGAACCTCAGGGTTAAGCCTTTGCATGACTTTTCATATGTTGCCACCAGGTGGCAGGAGTGTGCCACAGTCCTTTGGTCTCATGCATAAAGAGCATGAGCATCAGAGGTGGACTTAGGATGGTAGCTTTCTGAGCTAGAAGGGCAGAGTCTTTGAGTTTTTGAAATAGCAAACCCTCTTGTTTATGAAAACACATTCGCTTTTATGCAAAACAACAATTTGAGGGTTAGCAATGACCATATCTAGAAATGACCAGGGACCAAGAGTTTCATGGTCCAGAATTTTAAGGACATGGTCCCCAGCCCCTGGTGATCTTCTCACTCCCACTTTATACCTGAGTAGGTCATGGCAGCCCATCACCCCAGCAGCCACTGTGGAATTCAGTGTCCCATGAGGAACACCACGGGCTGAACCAGGGTTGATAGATTTACACTGTTTCTTTGCTCCTTCCTGTCTCTTTCAGGGAAAGAGATCAGGGCTAAGCCCACCCAAATTTAGGGTCCCTAAGTCCTTTGAAAAAAAAACTTTAAACTATTTGCCTAATTATAGTAAAGTTTTACCTAAACACAAACTCAGCAAGAAAAATTGTCACCCCCTGTGATGGTCAGTTTTGTGTCAACTTGTCTGGGCCGTGGTGTGCCCAGATATTTGGTCAAACATTATTCAGGGTGCTTTTGTCAAGCATTATTCAGAGTGTGTTTTTGGATGAGATTAGCATTTAAATCTGTAGACTCAGTCAAGCAGATGTGGCCCTCCCTAATGTGGATGGACCTCATCCAATCAGTTGAAGGCCTGAATAGAACAAAAGGCTCTCCTTCCTCCAAGTAAAAGAGACTTCTTCCTACCTAAGTACTTTCTTCAAACTGCACAATGGCTCTGTCTGGGTCCCAAGCCTGTCAGTCTTCCCCCTAGAAGCTCACCATCAGCTCTCTCGCATTGCTAGTTTGGTAACTCACCCCGCAGATCTGGAGGTTTCTCGGCCTCTACAATCACATGGCCAATTCCTTAAAATAAATCCCTTTGTGTGTGTGTGTGTGTGTAATATATATAAATATGTATAGTATATATAAAATACGTATATTATGTGCATATATGTATATGTAAAATATCCCATTTCTTCTGTTTCTCTGGAGAACTCTCACTAACATACTCCCTGGCTTGCCATTCATCCTTTGGCTATGCTTTCATTTCACACATGTATACTGAGAACCTATCTAGTACTAGGCCCTGTACTAGGCATCTGAAATAGAAAGGTGAAGCCAGCTGCCCGACTTAACAGATTCAAGAACAAGGGAAAAGACAGTACAGAAATGAGGTGTCACAGAATAGAAGTCAATGTGGAGCTGGGGAAAGCTAAGAATGACCAGATGCTGAAGAGGAGAAATGTAAGCTCATTTCCTGATGATGCTACTTGTCCGCTGCAGAAAAACCACAACAATCAGGGCACTGTAAATTAGTGTGTTGATGACATTGTCAAAGGCATAAATAGCAACAATGTGGAAAGTTAGCTCCAAGCTACTCAAGCTGCCAGGAAACTACTTTCTAGAGGAAAACAGCCCCGCCCCCGCCCCCCACCACCCCCCGCCCCACAAAGACAACTTAATCTGGGCTGGTTTGATTCCAAAATTTGTGTCTTTCTTAGGCAGAACTGATTGTAGTCCCATTCAGTTTGAATCTGCCTGGATGCTCACTAACATTGCTTCTGGGAATCAGAACAAGCCAAGGTTGTGGTAGATGGAGGTGCCATCCTAGCATTCATTTCTCTGTTGGCATCTCCCCATGCTCACATCAGTGAACAAGTTGTATCGGCTCCAGGAAACATTGCAGGTGATATAGCTCAGTTTTCCGAGACTTGATTACTAAGTACAGTGCCGTTGACCCACTGTTGGCTCTTCTTGCAGTTCCTGATATGTCATCTTTAGCATGTGGTTACTTATGTAATCTTACCTGGACACTTTCAAATCTTTGCTGCAACAAGAATCCTGCACCCCGGTTAGATGCTGTTGAGGAAATTCTTCCTATCTGAGTTCGGCTCCTGCATCATGATGATCCAGAACTATTAGCAGATGCCTGCTGGGCTATTTCCTACCTGACTGATGGTCCAAATGAATGAATTGACATTGTCATGGAAACAGGAGTTGTGCCCCAACTTGTGAAGCTTCTAGGAGCTTCTGAATTGCCAATTGTGACTCCTGCACTAAGAGCCATAGGGAATATTGTCACTGGTACAGGTGAACAGACTCAGGTTGTGATCGATGCAGAGGCACTTGCTGTCTTTCCCAGCCTGCTCACCGACCCCAAAACTAACACTTGGAAGGAAGCTATGTGGACAATGTCAAACATCACAGCTGGCCGTCAGGACCAGATACAGCAAGTTGTGAATCATGGATTAGTCCTATTCCTTGCCAATGTTCTAAGTCAGATCTTAAGACACAAAAGGAAGCTGTATGGGCCGTGACCAACTATACCAGTGGCGAAACAGTTGAACAGATTGTGTAGCTCATTCATTGTGGCATAATAGAACCATTGATGAACTTCTTAACTGTAAAGATACCAAGGTTATTCTGGTTATCCTGGATGCCATTTCAAGTATCTTTCAGGCTGCTGAGAAACTAGGTGAAACTGAGAAACTTAGTATAATGATTGAAGAATGTGGAGGCTTAGACAAAATTGAAGCTCTCCAAAATCATGAAAATGAGTGTGTATAAGGCTTTGTTAAGCTTAATTAAGTATTTCTCTGTAGAGGAAGAGGAAGATGAAAACATGGTGCCAGAAACTACCTCTGAAGGCTATACCTTCCAAGTTCAGGATGGGACTCCTGGGAACTTTTAACTTGTAGATCACATAGCTGAGGCATAAATTTGTTGTGTACTATGTTTGGTATAAGTTTGTTTCTCTACTATGTTTGTATAAGTACTGTTTCTCTACAAAGAACTCTTTTTAAATATGGTTTGGTATTGTAGCACTTTTTACACTGAAACTATACTTGAACAGTTCCAACCTGTAAATACCGTATAAAGCTTGTCCTCTGAATGGGTTTCTTATTTCTTTGTGGAATTTTATATCTCGCAGTGTCCTGTAAATAAAGACTAAAGTCCACCCCCCGGAAAAAAAGAAAAAAACAAAAAACAAAATAGAGAGGTGAACAAGTTAGCATGTTTCCTGCCCACAGAAAACTTCCAATCTACTGAGGGGGATAAACGATCAAATGCTCACACAAGTGTAAAAATGTAGCTATAGCAAGTGCTGCGGAGAGACAGGAGTGGCCTCTGGGAGTAGTAGAAAGGAGAGGCTTGAGCTGCACTGTAGCCACTAGCCACAAGTGCTCATTTAAATTCAAATTACAAGGCCAAGCGTGGTGGCTCACGCCTGTAATCCCAGCACTTTGGGAGGCTGAGGCGGGCAGATCACCTGAGGTCAGGAGTTTGAGACCAGCCTGGCCAACATGATGAAACCTCGTCTCTACTAAAAATACAAAACTTAGCCAGGCATGGTGGCAGGTGCCTGTAATCCCAGCTACTCAGGAGGCTGAGGTAGGAGAATTGCTTGAACCCAGGAGGTGGAGGTTGTAGTGAGCCGAGATCAAGCCACTGCACTTCAGCCTGGGTGACAGAGCGAGACCTTGTTTCAGAAAAAAAAAAAAAAAATTCAAATGACAGTCAGACTCCACATAATGATGTTTTCGTCAGTTAAGGACCACATATATGATAGTGGTTCCATAAGATGATGATACTGTATTTTTACTGTACCTTTCTAGGTTGAGATATGTTCAGATGCACAAATGCTTACCATTGTGTTACAGTTGCTCACAGTGTTCAGTACAGTAATATGCTGCTCAGATTTGTATCCTGGTAGCGATAGGCTACACTGCATAGTCTAAGTGTGTAGTAGGCTATACTATCAAGGTTTAAGTACAGTCTAGGATGGTCTCACAATGACAAAAATCACCTAATGATGCATTTCTCATAATGTGTTGTCATTGTTAAGTGACACATGACTGTAGTTAAACTTAAATACAAATAAAAAAAATTAAAGCACTCTGGGAGGCTGAGGCAGGAGGATTATTTGAGCCCAGAAGTTTGAGACGAGCCTGGGCTACACAGGGAGACCCCATCTCTACAAAAAATAAAAATAAAATACGTCAAGCATGGTGGCACGTGCCTGTAGTCCCAGCTACTTGGGAGGCTGAGTTGGGAGGATCGCTTGAGCCTGGGAGGTCGAGGCTGCAGTGGGGCTGGGATCGTACCCCTGCACTCCAAGCCTGGGCAACAGAGTGAGACCCTGTCTCAAAAAAAGAAAAAGCTCCTCATCTGCACTTGTGAAGTGCATGGTAGCTGCAGGCAGTCAGCAGCTACTGTATTGGACAGCACACATAACAGAACATTTCTATCGTCACCAAAAGTAATAGTGCTGACCTAGAGCAAGGTTTCTCAAACTCAGCACTATTAACATGTTTGGCTAGGTAATTCTTTGCTGTTGAGGGCTGTCCTGTGTCCTGTTAGATGGTTATCAGCACTAACTCCCCTCACCCAGTTATGACAAGCAAAATGCCTCCAGACATTGTGAAGTAGCCCTTGAGGGGGCAAACTTGCCCCCAGTTCAGAACCACTGGGCTAGAGGACATTCAGACAGAAATAATTTTAGTAATCAGAACGCAGAGTGGTAAGGGCTTTGAGGTGGTAAACCAAGGTGTTGTCAGAACATGGGAAGAAAGTTCTCATGTCAGACTGGAGGACGCAAGGGAAGGCTTCCCCAGAGAGCTGACTCCCAAGCTACATCTTGAAAAGCAAGACAATGGCAGCAACGAGGCTTGATACCATCTAGTATGACACTAGTTCCACCATCAACCTCTTCCTGCCTTCATCATCTATTCCGGTCCCTGGATGGTTCCATGCTAAACTCAGAGGGTGCTGTATGAACTCTACTTCCCTTCATTCTCCTTTATTTTTTTTAGATTACTAGTCTTGTAATGTTTAAAAATCTCAGCTGGGTGTGGTGGCTCACACCTGTAATCCCAGCACTTTGGGAAACTGAGAGGGGAGGTTTGCTTGAGGCCAGAAGTTTGAGACCAGCCTGGGCAACATAGCAAGACCACTTTTCTACAAAATGTTTAAAAATTAGCTGAGTGTGGTGGCGTGTGCCTGTAGTCCTAGCTACTTGAGAGGCTGAGGTGGGAGGGCCACTTGAGCCCAGGAATTCAAGGGTGCAGTGTGCCATGATTATACCACTGAACTCCAGCCTGGGTGACAGAGTGAGACCCTGCCCCCAAAAAAGAAAAGATCTCTTGTTCTTTCCTGAGTTGGTTAGGGCTCTTAATGTGGCAATAAGAGCTAGTTCAACAAAAGGGGTACCAACTGTGAAGACAGGCCACATGAGACTCAAGACAGGAACCCAAGTTCATTCGGGCCCCATGCATATGTGAATGGGAATATCATTGCACAAAAAGGCTGCTCTATCTCTTGAGGGCTTCATGACCTCACTTAAGACATCTCTGATGCTCTCTGCACATGACCTCTAGTCTCAACTGTCCGCTGATCTGTTTTCTCCTCCTTCAGTTGCAGATAGTTCACAATGGCCACCCAGTTCCCTCTACAGATGGGTAATGCTTCGTAGTCGGTTTGACTTCATTGTCAGCTGGAACTGGCCTATGTGAATTTTAGCTCAACATCCTACGTAGGAATATAATAGGCCTAACTCATCATTTTTCGATAAAGGCCACACAAGTCAAGGGCTCCTAGTCTAAAAGACAGTTCCCACCTGGGGCTGCTGTCTACCCCTATTCTGTGCCACTTGGTACAGAGTCTGTGTCTACCCAGCGGGGACCTGCAGTGGGAGATAAGGGAAGGCTAGTTGCCCTGTACACAGTTGGCTCAAGAAATGAGGGTTAGTTCCTCATTTCTTTTTTCCATTCTTGTCATCAGTTGCTCTGGAATTGTCCCAGATTCCTCCATTTTCTTATCTGTAATCAACTCCTTACTTTCTCTCATCACCTAGTACAGTACCTAGCACATAGTAGATGCTCAATAAATATTTGATGTATTGAAGCCTACTAGTCAAAGACTGCGAGGAACACACCTATAGTCAAACACGTGTAGGTTTATTGATCTTGCTGCAGTAAGGAAGAGCACGTGGTTTCTCAACAAGAGGGCATTGGAGGGGCTTATTGAAGGATTTGGGTTTAGGCTAGGTGACTGTAAGGGAAAAACTAGAGAAACAAGAGCCAGTTTTGTATTAGATGTTATTAGAATGTGAGGACAATTCAGCAACTTGGTATCTGAGAAATTCTTGTTGAGGAAGCAGGAAGAACAAAATGGGACTGGGATGTCGTTGGTAAAAAAAGTAATAATAGTAATCTCCCAGAGGTAACTTTTTATCTCTAATGTGGCTTTGACTCTGTTTGCGTAGAAACATTATTTATTACAGTCTGATTGACAACAGGGTTGATTTTTTTTTTTTTACATTTTCAGTTAAATTAAAAAAAAAATAACTGAATGACTATTTACCCAAAGGAAGAAGCAATTGCAATGAGTTACAGGCAAGAGCAAGGTGCTAAGTTTAAGCCAGCCAAAGTGACTCTTCATATTATCTGTCTTTCAAATGATTGCTTTTTACTGATGTTGAAGAAAATTGGCCTTTAGTATAATGATGTAACACAGATTCATCTGAGGCTTCCTCTACAATTTTGAAATAAATGGTGCTGTATGTGTTCCATTGTTGATATTTTCACCCTTCTTTATTTTGATTGCTCATTCAAGGTTATCTTGCAATTGGCCAACGTTCCTCTTCAAATGTGGTCCCATACATTCCAGATATTGTCTGCTTGGAGCTGAACACAATAGGTCAATTACTTCCTGAGTTTGCAACACCATGCTCATGAGACACACTTTTTTTTCAGTAGTCATATTACACTATAGGTTCACATAAGGCCAGAAGTTTAAGACCAGCTTGGGCAACATAGCAAGACCCCTTCTCTACAAAAGGTTTTTTAAAATTAGCTGGGTGTGGTGGCATGTGCCTGTATTCCTAGTTACTGGCTTGACTTGGTTAGAGCTCTTAATGTTTTTAAGCATGAGCACCCTGGTCTAGTATTTGATTTTTGGAATATGAATAAAAAGTGAATTTGTCATTACTCACAACATTTTATCCATTCTTACTCAACATTCTGGAAGGTTGGAAAAACACCTGTTGTATTTGCTTTTCCTCTGACTTTTTGTTGTATGCAATTTGGTTTACATCACTTCTCTGTAACTCATGCACAACGTTGGCCAAATGTTGAACTGGATACCTGGAAAAAGAGAATCTCTCCAGCTTCAGGAAGTCATCAAGCAACACTCTTTTGTCATGATTGTTGGACTGCTTTCAATTTATTAGCCCATTTTATTAGTCAGGGTTCTCTAGAGGGACAGAACTAATAGGATAGATGTATATATAAAGGGGAGTTTGTTAGGGAGTATTGACTCACATGATCACAAGGTGAAGTCCCACAATAGGCTGTCTACGAGCTAAGGAGCAAGGAAGCCAGTCTGAGTCCCAAAACCTCAAAAGTAGGGAACCTGACAGTGCAGCCATCAGTCTGTGGTTGAAGGTCCCAGAGTCCAAAAGCTGAAGAAGTTGGAGTCCAATGTTCAAGGGCAGGAAGCATACAGTATTGGAGAAAGATGTAGGCTGGAAGACTCAGCCAGTCTAGTCTTTCCATATTCTTCTGCCTGCTTTTATTCTGGCTGTGCTAGCAGCTGATTAGATTGTGCCCACCCAGGTTGAGGTGGGTCTGCCTTTCCCAGTCCACTGACACAAATATTAACCTCCTTGAACAACACCCTCACTGACACACCCAGAAATAATACTTTGCATCCTTCAGTCCAATCAAGTTGACACTCAATTATTTCCCATCACACCCCTGCACATTTCACTCCTGTGTGAGTAGACAGGGAGCTTCTGGCCATGGTGCAGCTTGAAGAACCAGGAGGAACGGAGAGGATTGGGCGAAGTGGGAGCAGGATGACCAGTGAAGATTTCAAGGAATAATACAAGACTGAGTCCATTTGTTCTCAAAGTAGGACAGGTGGCATTGGAAATGGACAGGAAGATGTTACTAGAAATATGAAAGAAAAATTCAACAAGTCTCCATGAACAACAAATGAATATAGGCAGAAATGGGGAAAAGACAGGTTTAGAGTGTGAATAATTTGGATGGTGTTGGTGAAAATAAAGAGGTCTTGGAGAGAAGCTGTTTGAGCATAGTTGGATGGTGATGGGGAATTCTTGCTGAAATGTGTGAGTCAAAAGTACTAGCAAGATTTGAATTTTTTTTTTTTTGGTCTAAATTCTGGGCAATTTTTTGTTTGTTTTTGTTTGTTTGCATTGTTCATTTTGTTTTTACAAGAGCCATTTGAGGAGGGTAGGACTAATTTATTTTTGCAAAAGTGAATTTGCAGCTCAGAGGAGCTAACATTTTTGTCCAAGAGTATACCTTGTAGGAAGAGTGCCACCCTGGGGATATAGAAGTAACTAGACATGTGCCCATCCTCTCTTGCAGAACAGTAAAGGTAATTGCTAACCCACTTAAGTTTGGAGAAGACAAAAGACTGCATTTAATTCAGTCTGGTGGGAGTGAGGAAAAGAATAGGAAGGCTTCTAAGAGGATACAGTATATCAGAAAGGAAGGTCAAGTCAGAGAAAGGATATTAGAGGCAGAGAGAACAATGTGCAACTATAGAATGCTTAGGAAACAGCAAAGAAATTTATTTCTGCTAGAGAAAAGATGATGTGAGGATCAGCTGGAGAGGTGGCAGGAGGGGTAGTCAGAGCCCAGCTGAGGGAAGTCCTTTTATGCCAGGCTGGAGTTTGGACTTGACATTGTTTGCAATAGAAAGCCAGTAAAGATTTTAAACTGTAGGATTAATCCAACAGGATTGAATTGGCATGGTAGAAAGATAATTCTGGCAGAAAGATGAAGCCTTGATTAGAAGGGGAGAAGTAGGAGGCCCTTCAGAAATCCAAGGATGATAGTAGTCTGGCAGGCATGTAGTACTCTTGCGAGGCAGAAGCAAGAGTAATGGGACAGAGAAGACTGACTCAAGACATGGGAGGAAGAATGCAGAAGACTTAGAGACTGCTTCAATGTAGAGATTTGGGAGATGGGACAGTGAGGAGGACTCTGGGGTGGTGGCTGAAGTCACTGGTTAGATAGGTCATTAGCAGAGACAAGGAAACTAGGAAGGTGACTAGGTTAGTTGGGGAAAGAATGGGATGAAGATGCAAGTCTAGCTTTCCATGTGCTAATTGTAGTGTTTTGTGACAATTGAGGAGAATTGTTCAGTAGGCAACTGAATATTTGGGTTTACAAAAGATGAGAAGTTTGGGCAGAAGATAAAATGCCCTTAGGGACATTGTGGTTTGGATTGTATAGTTGGTTCTCTTTATTCATGGTAGTTATGTTCTACAAAGTCACCAAAAACACTGAATTAGTGAACATTGAGCCATTGCTCCTAGGGGAAATATAGGGTTAGGTTCCTGTGAGCCTTTGGTCATAATATTTTTATCAACTAATCAGTGCATAACCTTGTTTTAAGTGTGTTTCCATTTAAAGATGCCTTATTTAATATATACTGTTGATTCACTAACATTAAACTCATGGGCAACAACACTATAACTTATGCCTAACTGAAGCTTTTCTAATACATATGTTTTCTCTGTAAGGACATCATAATCATCTTGCACTTAGAAACACTAGCCAACATTTCAACACTGTGCTTGAGGGCCATCTTGAACAGTGAAATCACCAACAAAATGCACACAAATGCAAAAAAAAAAAAAAAAAAAAAAGGAGGGGGGGGGTCCTAAATAGATTATGAAAGGATAGCTGTTTGCAGTATAAAAGCTAAAATAGGAGTGCTGCCTTGTCCAGCGTTAGCTGCTCTGTTCATGTTCATGAATGACCATGACACTGCCCAGAGTATTGATTTGTGGTTACAAATAAATTTTAGTGAGTAGGGAAATTCTTGAATAATGAGGATGCAGTGTATTTAAAACCATGACTGTTTGGTTGGTGTCACTTTCAGAAGGATTAGAATGAGAGTGAGAGAGGCTAAAATATGCCTTGGGTACACTGACATTTGATAAGTGGGCAGCAGAAAAGATACATGGAAGGAAGACTTAGGAAGAGGAGCAAGACAGTGAGGTTTAATACCCATAGAATATGAAGTTTCAAGAGCAGAAGTACTCAAGAGTATCCATCATAATTAAGAGTTAATTAAGTTAAGGAGTGTGCACTAGATTTTACAAACAAGAGGAGACCTTGAGGAAAATAGTGTCCATGAGTTTGTAGGGGTTGAAGCCACATAGCTGAAGGTTGAAGAATAGCAAAGAGTAGAAAAGTGGTAATTCAAGTGTATATTACTCTTTTGATATGCTCCAATGTAAAGAGAAGAAAAAAGATGGTACAATGGCCAGAGAGAACCATAAAGGGTTCCAGTTTTGTTGGCTGAAGGGTAGATTAATTTAACTATGGCTGAAAGGAGACCAGTAGAGAGGGAGAGGTAAGAAATACAGAAAAGATAGGATGTGGCAGATGGAGTAAAGTCCATGAGTGGGCAGACATGGATTAGGCTTTGGCTGCACAGGAAGGAGGCAGGAAGGGAGGGCTACGAATGACAGCAAATATTAGTTCTTTGAATATGTCAAATTCACCCCCCTAAGGGCCTTTGCAATTGTTGTTCCCTCTGTCCAGAATGCTCTTCCCCTGCCACGTTCTCATGGCTTTATCTGTGGATCCTCATATGACTGGCTCCTTGTTATTCAGATCTCAGCTCAAATGTCACCTTATCACAGAGGCCATCCCTGGCCATCCAGCTAAAAGTAGTCCTTTTGCACTGTCACCTGAAATTATCTTATTTGTTCATCTGTTTACTTGCTTCCTTCCCATCTGCTCACTCAACTGTGAGCTCTGTGACAGCTGGGACCTTTGTCTGTCTTGATCACGGATATACTCCCAGTGCCTGGCATGTGTTTGTTGAACAAATGAATAGCATGCAGAAAACATGGAGGAAGTTTACTTGAGGGGAGGGAGGGGTTTTGTCTTATTCCTCTCTGTACTCTGATGCCTCGCAGAGAGTAGGCGTTCAGTATTGAATTCAAAAATGAATAGAATAATCATTCCACTTCCAGGTATGTATACTGAAGAACTGAAAAGAGATGTTCAAACAAAGAATTGTACAAAAATGTTCATAGCAACATTATTCTTAATACACAAGATGTGGGAACAGCTCAAATGTCCATCAACTGATGAGTGGATAAACAAACCGAAATAATGGGATATAGCCATGTGATAAAGTATTATTCAGCCATAAAGAGGAATGAAGTTCTGATAAGTCCCATAATATGGCTGAACCTTGAAGAGTTTATGCTACGTGAAAGAAGCCAAATACAAAAAGCCACATGTTGTATGATGTTATTTATATGGAATGTCCAGAAAAGACAAATTCAGAGAGACAGAAAGTAGACTAGTGGTTTCCAGGGGCTGGGGGAAAGGGGAGTGGGGAGTGATTGTTTAATAAGTAGTACAGGTTTCTTTTTGGGATGATGAAAATAGAATTGGATAGCGGAATTAGATAGTGGTGATGGTTGTGTAACATCATTAATGTACTAAAAGCCACCGAATTGTACAGTTTAAAATGGTTAATTTTATGTTTTCTTTTCTTTTTTTTTTTTTTAAGACAGGGCCTTGCTCTGTCACCCAGGCTGGAGTGCAGATCACAACTCACTGCAGCCTCAACTTACTTGGGCTCAGGTGATCCTCCAACCTCAGCCTACTGAGTAGCTGGGACTACAGGCAAATGCCACCACACTCGGCGAATTTTTGGTATTTTTTCATAGAGATGGGATTTTGCCATGATGCCCAGGCTCGTCTCAAACTGCTGGGCATCAGCTATCTACCCACCTCGGTCTCCCAAAATGCTGGGGTTACAGGCATGTATTAGTCTGTTTTCATGCTGCTGATAAAGACATACCTGAGACTGGGAAGAAAAAGAGTTTTAGTTGGACTCACAGTTTCACATGGCTGGGGAGGTCTCAGAATCATGGCAGGAGGTGAAAGGCACTTCTTACATGGCAGTGACAAGAGAAAAATGAGGAAGAAGCAAAAGTGGAAACCTCTGATAAACCTATCCAATCTCATGAGACTTATTTACTATCACAAGAATAGCATGGGGAAGACTGGCCCCTGTGATTCAGCTACCTCCCCCTGGGTCCCTCCCACAACATGGAGGAATTCTGGAAAATACAATTCAAGTTGAGATTTGGGTGGGGACACAGCCAAACCATATCATTCTGCCCCTGGCCCCCACAAATCTCATGTCTTCACATTTCAAAACCAATCGTGTCTTCCCAACAGTCCCCCAACATCTTAACTCATTTCAGTATTAACCTAAAATTCCACAGTCCAAAATCTCATCTGAGATAAGC